>NT_187543.1:0-244096 GCF_000001405.40 Homo sapiens
GAATTCCTGAACTGTTAAAAATAATAACTCTTGTTTGTGTCATTCTCCAAAGTTTTAAAATAAAATTAGATCATTGTGCCCAAACCAAAAAGTTCTGAAGTCATTGAAGTGATGGAATCATAGGATGCACTGCAGGGGCTGAAATTCCAAACCTTGTAGGGACAGGAAGGTAACGTGAATGTATGAATCGGACTAAATGTGGATAGCGGGGAAGAGTGGGTTCTGTGGAAAACTAGAAAGAATATGCTTCTAAGGATGTTCAAATTTGGATTTAGAAAACAAATACCAAGCCTGCAAAACAGGAGACCTGGAATAAATTATCAGCTTTGAAAAAATCAGAGTTTGAAAAAATATATTAATTCTTATTTCAGAGACATCCATGTAATTCAGTGTCTTTCACAAGGCAGACAAAAAGATCTTAGGAGAGAGAGACAAAGGAAAATAGAAACAAAGAAAAGGTGTTAAGTTTCTAAAAAACAGACACTGTGTTGGGCTTTGAACATATAGAATAGCATGAATTCTCACCATGACTACCTGCAGTAGCCAGTATTATTCCCACTTCATGGATGAAAGATTCAATCTTAGAGAGTTTAGGTAACTTGTAACAGTAGAAAAGCAAGAATTTAATTACAAATCCTATGTTCTCTTCTCTATACTAAATGTATGAACTCAAGCAAGTTATTTATCCTCTTTATTCTTCATGTTTTAATGGGCATAATAATGGTTTATTCACTAGAATATTTTAAGAATTAAAGTTAATAATTGTAAAAATTCTCACAGAATTTTTTTTATGTTTGTTGAATATGAAAGTATGATAATTACTTTTGTTGAGCAACTATCAGCATAGCAGATGTTTGAACTGTTTCTGCAGAGGGATTTGGGCAAGACACCTTTTATTCTTATACCTGGGTTTTATTGTGAAGTTATATCCAGTTAAGCTTGTGAGAATTTGGAGTGCAGCCTGCAGTTGTATGATGGCTGAGGAATACAGGAACATTGTGGTTACTGTAAACATGAGAGTAATAACTGCAAACTAAGGAATAACAGTATATTAATCAGGATCCTCCAAAGAAACAGAAGTGTGTGTGTGTGTGTGTGTGTGTGTGTGTGTGTAGAGAGAGATTATTTGTAGGGAATTGGCTGCCACAGTTATAGAGGCTGAGAAGTCCTGTGATCTCTAGTTGGCAAGCTGAAGTCTGGAGACCTTGCAGAGCTGATGGTATAGTTCCAGCCTGTCTGAAGGCCTGAGAACCTGGAGGGCTGATGGTGTGATTTACAGTTCAAAAGCCAGTGCGCTCAAGACCCAGAAGATCTAATGTTTCCATTTGAGTCAGAAGCCAGGAAAAGACTGGTGATGTTCCAGCTCAAGCAGCCGGGCAGAAGGAGTTCCCTTGTTCCACAAGAGGGCCAGACTTTTTGTTTTATTCAGGCCTTCAGTTGGTTGGATAAGATTCACCTACATTAGGAGGACAACTGGCTTTACTCTATCAATTTAAATGTTAGTCTCCTCCTGAAACTCTCACAGCCCTCACAGACATACCAAGAATAATGTTTGGCTTAATATCTGGGCACCCTGTAGCCCAGTCAAGTTGACACATAAAAGTAATCATGACATATGGTAATGTGTAATAGGATAAGCTGTAATGAGTTAGGAAATGGTCTGATGTTAACAAAATAATAAAGAAAGCAAATGTGTTGAATGCCTGTGGGAACTTGTAACGAGATAGTCATGCACATGGTGAAGAAATTTGTTAGCTGAAGAAGTTCAATACACTGGCTCCTCCAAGATAACTTTCCCACAGGAAACTTTGGGAGCTACTCAGGTATTGCATCCTCTGGGAGTAATTAACTGTTCACTAACAGGAGGTTTGCGTGTAACCAGCAACAGCAGGTAAAATTTCAGGTGCTTCTATCAAAGAACTAGAGAGATAGCTCAGCCACTGCTGGATCCTGTGCGAGGATCCCTGGGGAATGCACCTTCCCTGAGGTATGATGTGACACTTACAATATACACTGATGTATAGTGTATACGTTTTATTGAGTTGGAGCCAGATGGGGTCTATTTACTCCCAGTTGATTTTCAGAATCATCATTTTTATATATTCTCAACAAACCTGTCCCTTTCTCTCCTCGTGGTAACCACCTGGCACAACTCTATCCCTTGTAAATCCAGCTCTCCACAGAGCTGAGTGTGGCTGGAGAAGCCCACAGTGACGCTGATTGCTCTTCCCTTACATTCGTGATCACTAACCGGGGCTGGCTGCCTGATTTGCAGGGCCCAGGGCAAAATGAAAGTGTGGGGCTGTTCGTTCAAAAGACATTTTTAAAAAGCCTCATTAAATGCACTAAAATCTAAGGTGTTTTCATTTTCAAAATAATTTGTGACTTATAAACCATAAAGCAGGCAACAGTGACACACGAGAAATAACATAAACTTACAAATTGCAAAAATTATGTGTGACTCCACAGTCACACACATTAAGCCACCAATGCAGCTGGCCCTGTCGCTAACCGCTAGTAGGCTCCTAGCACACCTGCCATTCTAATGCCTTCCCTCGCTCATTCATGTTTCTGGGAGGCTCCTTCAGATTCTCTCTCCTCTTAAGCCTCTAATGTTTTCTCTCCCATCCTCACTCTCAGTTAATGACTTTGGGGTATATGTCACTGAAAGAAAAACAAATTTAAGCCAAAACCAGAATAAGATGAGAGCTTCTGCAAACTGCTACTTCCTCATCACCCCCCACCTGGATCTATGTCCAAACACTGTCTTCCTTTTTGTTACCCATAAGTTAAACTGGAGCACTAAATCCCAATGTCTCTCTCGAATTCCAGCAATTCTCCTTCTACCTCCCACAATGTCGACTTTTCTGTCTCTACTGGAGTGTTCCTATCAACATGCACAGTTGAATTTTCCCATCTGGCACTACCTGTCCTGATCTTATGTTCCTTTCAAACTACTGCACTATTTCTGCTTTCTTCAGAGTGGAATTCTTTGGAAGGGTTTTCATATTTACCATCTCCAATTTCTGTCTTCATTTTTCCTCTCAGATCCACTAGGTCTGACAGTTTCCTCTGTCCTTTCACAGAAATTGCTCATTTCAAAATGTGAATATCTTCCATGTTGTTATAGCCCATGATCAATTCTTAACCCTCTTCTCACTTAGCCATGAATAGCATTTGCACAGCTGGTTGTTGCCTGACCCTCAAACACTTTCTCACTTGGCTCCATGACACCCCAGACTTCTTGGTTTCCTTCCTTCATCGTTGGCCTCATTTCTCCCTCTGCTTTGCGGTTCCTGCTGTTCACCCTGTGCTTTACACGCTGCAACAGCTTAGGGGCTAGTCCTCTGACATCTTCTCTACCCGCATGTACTCCCTTAGGGATTTCAAACAGTCTCATAGCTTTAAGCACCATCCATACACTGACGACTCCCAGATTCAAAGGTTTAGTCCAGACCTTACCCTTGAACTCCAAATGGGTATACCCACGTACCTAGGAGATAATCCTTACACTCCCTTCTTTCTCCACTATGCTTAATTTAATCTGTCAGAACGTCTGTGATTCTACCTTCCAAATAGATCCATAACCTGACCCCTCTTCACCACTCATCTTGCTACTCCTGGTCCAAGTCACCTCCACCTTGCACTTGGATTATGGCAATAGTCTCTTAACTGTTCTCCCTCTTCCACTGGTTCTTCTTAGTCTTCTATTCATTACGTAGGGATCCTGTTAAAAGACAGGTCTGGTAATATCAGTCCTTTGTAAACATGTCCAATGGCTTCTCACCACAATCAGTAAAAACCAAAAACCCTCCATCTGGTGGCCCCCAGCCCCTTCCTTCTCCACCTCACATGTGCTTCCTTTGCTCACCCTCTCTTGACTGCTTCCTGCTCTTCAAACGTGTTAGGTTATGCTCCTTCCTCTGGGCCTCTGTCTGCAACATCCTTTCTCCAACATCTTTGTGGGTGGCTCTCTCACTTCTACAGGTCTCGCTCATGGGCCTTCTGGCGAGCCCTTCCCTGATCACGGTGCTTGCATGGCAGGCTGGCACTCTGTCTGCCCTGTTTAGTTTTCTTCACGAGATCAGAAAGTCCTGTTTGTCTTGTTTACTGCTTTATGACCAGGGCCTAGAAGCACTTGGCACAACTAGGCATTCAGTACAGATTTATTAATTGAATGAGTAAATAGCAGTTGTGAATCAGAACACAATGGAATCTATGTCTCCAAAACTTTGTGATGAATAAAACTGGCTAAAATATGAGAATTTTATGTACCTTAGTCACATATCATAAGATTTTCTAAGTAGAATTCATACTTGGTTGCATGTCCTAAGATCTTTTTAGGGAGGTTTCCTCTTTCTAAGGGGATTCAAAGATATCAGTGAAACCTGAAAATTGTCTTGGGTTAAGTAGTGCATTGTGGAGTACCAAATGGCATGAAAGAACAAAACTGCTGTCACTGTGACTGCCATAGTCAATGTCAATGTTGGATATGACTGCATGAGCTGACAGCCCCTGGAGCATGTGAAATATATGAAATGCACACTGGACATAACAGAGCATTTTTGCAGGGAGCTGGACCAACTCTTTTATGTGACTAAGATGCTATTTGCAATTTATATAAAGGAAAAAAGCAAATATGCTCCATGCAGTGCCTAAAAGAGCCCTAGTGGCTTCAGGGTAGAAAGCCATCCCACTTCTCTTCAGCAGAGCATGAAATCAACCTACTACCTTTTATCAGGTTACTTACATAAAGGAATTGTGCCTATTAATAAAACATCATGCATCTTGTTTCTCCAAGAGCAATGATAACCAAACTCTCCTTTCCCGTTCCCTCTTCCTTCCTTCTCTGGGGTCAATTTTTGCTGCCCTGTGTTCTGTTCAGCATGCATTAGCCATGAGGATCAGATTGTTAGTCCAGATGACTTTGAAGTAGTTTTTCTTATGGTAAGGTTTTCTCCTAAGTCTGTAGCATAGAATCCTTGTTTTGGGGTTGATCCATGCCTAACCTGAAGATGATAGAATGCAAATTCTGCTTTACATTTGTGTATATAAATATTGCATCAGTCACATGTCCATTTTGGTGGCAACATCGTCTGTGGTTTTCTTAGCTGCCCTGGGATCAGATTTGCTTAATCATGTTCCCTTTTCTTTCAGGTTGTGCTTGGCTTCTTGCTGCCCACACCTACTCCATGATTTCGTGCTAATTTCTGCCCTTCTTCTCAGTTAGTGAAAGCTTCCCCGCACTCATTATCAGCACACTTGAATGTCCACTTAGTGTCAGACGTACAATTTTTAAAGTGAGAATTTCATCCAGGACTTTTACAAAGCCTCTCATGTGGCCACAGACTGCAGTTAAAAAACTAGCCTGTTAGAATGGTCACCTTGACATCATAGTCCAGAAGTGTCCCAATAATGGATGTGCAAAAAAGGAGTTAAAAAATGAGAACACCAGCCCACAAAGAATGGTACCACCCAAGCATTTGGACCAAGTCCACAGTTTTTATGTTTTTGTGCCACATAGCATAGACAGCCTAATATATTTAAAGTAACACTTAAAATGTACTTTAGGGATTCAAATTTTAGCTCCTTGTTTCTGTTTGCTAATACAGAACATAAATTTTGAAAAAATAAACTTTTAATTGAAAATTTTACAAAAAGTAAAATAAAAAACTGCTTATATTTCCATCCAAGGGAAAGAAGATACACATAGTAAATACTTTAAAAGTATGTATATTCTTTCACCCGCTTTTAGGATTTATCCTAAGTATAACTAGCTGTTTTATAAAGATGTTCATCATCATTATTTACAGTAAGAAAAAATGAACCTAAATGTTGACAGAATTCACGGAGTGAGCTATGGTGCCTGCACACAGTGGGGAATTACGCAGGACTGAACACTATGTTTAAAAGCACTTTTAATGGCATGTCAAACACTTACTCTAATATGGAAAATACAGTGATTTCGTGGATATACAAAAACATCCTCATTTTTGTGTAATCGTGTATCATATATGATCCTAAGTACGTAATACTAAACATGAGAAAAAATGCTTGCTAAAAACAGACCAAAATGTAGAGGGCTGCCACTGTGTGGTGTGATCGGGTGACTTTTTGCCTTTTAATTTATATTTTTGTTGGCACAGAACATTGTTCTCATGTGCCCGAAGAGATTTAAAGATGATCTTGAGACAATTAGCCTCCTCTCAGAGTCCTGCCGGGGTAGGTAACAGGGAAGATTGGGGCAGGTCAGAGGTGACTCCGGGACGTTTGTGCTTGGTGCCCTGCTGCGAGGGACAGCGGCTCCGCAGCTCCAGCCCACTGTTCGTCACAGGTCCTTGGTGACTGTCTTACCAGTTATTTTCAAATTCAAGATAAAACGGAAATACAGACTTTCACATAAAACTGTCTACATTTAACTACCAGCAATTACATTTTTTGTCGTAAAACAAAGGGTAAGTCAAACAAAACGTCTAAGAGTAAATCTGTCTACAGTGTGTTCAGGAAATGAACACAGGTCAGGTTTATGTGGAAGATATCCAGGGCGTAGCACATCTGCTGGAAGCATTTCAGTCATGAGCACAGCTGGGTATTGGCCGTGAACCTGGTGTGCACTGAATACACACCCCGTGGCCCCTACAGTGCATTCCCTGTGGATAGTTTATTAGGTTTCCTTTATTCCCTTCATCTATTCTTCCCTTTCCTTTCTTCCTTCCTCTTTTTTTGCCTCCCTCTCTCTCTTCCTGTCTTTATTAAATATATGGGATGCAGATTTGATGAATATGTCAATCAAAGATCACCAAGAAGTCTTAAACAGGTAAACCACAGAAAACAGTCAGGATCAGAATAAGAACACTGTTTAGTGGTTCTCAAGCTTTTTGTTCTCAGAACTTCTTTATAATCTAAAATGTGTTGCACCCCCTGAAAAGCTTTCACTTTTATGGGATAAAAATAAATATTTATAAAATATATAGTAAAAAATATAAATATATAAATAAATTTATGATTTGTTTATATAAATATGTATATAAAACCATATTTATCATACTAAGATTTGAAATGGACAAATATTTAAAATATTTATTAGTTAATTTTAAATAATTACCAACCTTTCAAATAAATAACATTTTAATGAAAATTAAAAAAAATTAAATTCCGCCTGGCGCAGTGGCTCATGCCTGTAATCCCAGCACTTTGAGAGGCCGAGGCGGGCGGATCATTTGAGTTCAGGAGTTCGAGACCAGCCCGACCAACCTTGTGATACCCCATCTCTGCTAAAAATCCAAAAAAATTAGCTGGGTGTGGTGGCGGACACCTGTAGTCCCAGCTACTCGGGAGGCTGAGGCAGGAGAATTGCTTGAACCTGGGAGGCAGAGGTTGCAGTGTGCCAAGATGGTGCCACTGCACTCCAGCCTGGGAGACAGAGCAAGACTCTGTCTCAAAAAAAAAAAAAATTAAATTCCAATTTAATTTTTATTTTAATTTATTTAGTTCTAAAATTATATTTAATTTTGTAATTTATTTTAATCGTATATTAATCACATTTATTTTAAAACCAAATAAATGTGTTGAGAAGAGAGAAATTGTTTTACATTTTTGCAAATCTCCTTAATGTGTAGCTTAATAAAAGATAACTCTACTATTCTGTTTCTGCATTTAATCTGTTATGAAGTCACCTATCATGAATCTTCTGGAAAATTTCATGTATATTTGTGAGAGAATGAGGGTAAAAATGGCGAATAACATCTTAGTATTATTATAAAAGTCATTTTGGCCTCCTGTTGCCACTGAAAAAGTCTCAGGATGTCCCAGGGGACTTTGGCCCACACTTTGAGAATCAATGTTCAGGCTCCTTTCTGAGCTGATTATGTAGCTGAGCACGCTGAACGTCATGTGATTGAGAACCTGCCCCTTCCAGCCTTCATCTCTTCCATTAGCTTCCCTAAACCATTCATTTTTTAGGGCATTATTTTCTATCAAATACAAACACCAGTGGAAGACAGAACACATGAAGCCATTAGTAGTTTAATGCCTTAATGTGAATAAATTTAATTCATTTCAATTTGAGAGTCCATGGGGTCACAAAGGAGATGAAAGAGAAAGTACAAGAGCCAGACATAAGGTTGGAAAGAACCCTGTCCCCAGTGAAAGGCCAATTTTTTCTTTCACAGCATCGTCTTGGAACAACCTGCTTTCTGGATTCTTAGCTCACAAGTTTGAAAAGGAGCCATTCCCTGATCTATTTTAATTGCTTATCTTCAAAAACTGTCTGAACTACGGTACCCTGTGGCTACTACCTTCCAATTTAGGACTCAGGTTTCCAGGAAAAGAAAAGAGTTACAACTACTAATAAAAGTCAGTCAAAGTAACTGCTCCTCTTTGAAAGTTTCAGCTCTTATTTTAGATATGGGGGTTCACATGCAGGTGTGTTACATGGGTGTATTACACCCAGCTAGTGAGTATCGTACCCCTGGCTAGTTTTTCAATGCATGCCCCTCCCTTCTTTGCCCCGCGCAGTCCACAGCGCCTGTTGTTCCCATGTGTACGTCCATGTGTGCTCAATGCATAGCTTGGAGCTCCCACCTATAACTGAGAACATGCAGTGTGTAAACCCCACTAATTTCTATGAAAAAGTATTTCTGTTGATAACCCTGCAGGAAGCTCTTTATTAATGTCTTCATCCTTTAAACCTACTTAGCCCTATGCTGCTTTAGTCACCTGTACTTTTTTTAAAAACTGTTTTTTTCTCTCATTCTGACTTACTTATCCTTACATACATTGCTATTTCTTCATTCCTAAGGAAGTACGCATTCGATTTAAGCATCTGTGCTGAGATAAAATTAAATTCTAGTCTTTTTTAATGGGGCAAAATGGAAATATAATCTCAGGTAATGCTTTCCAGTTCAGCTTACTGCTGGTTTTTGCAGATGGAATTATAAACATACTTAATCAGAGGGAAATTCCAATACACTTTAGCCACAGGATATTCGTGCCTTTGCATGGGAAGAATTGATCTCTCCTCAAGCTAGCTGCAACCTGCGTCTTCTGAGGGAAGAGCTGTCTTCACCTGCGTGGGATGAATTTGAGGGATCACTGGCCTTGCCGTCTGAGAGTGCGGTCCCTGAGCTGGGAGGATTCTGCTGAGATTAGGTCATGCGATCAGCCTGAGGTTGCGACCATGGGGGTGAGCTCAAATTATAGTTTTGGTACCATGCCTGAGTTTAGTCGGCAAAAGTAATTCACACCAGAGGGGGAATGTGCAAGAGGTCAATAACAGAATGAGAAATCAGGGGCAGGGAAAATGCAGGTTGTGAAAGACGATGAAGTGATGATTAGAGGCAGGCTAGGGTGGCCTACCAGTGGTGAAGTCCTGGGAGTGAAGAAGACGTTTGCTTCATAAATAAAGAAAGTCTTCTGTGCTGCAGGAGAATCAACTGTTGAGAGGGGTGAACGGATGCAGAGTAGTTTCCCTGTTACCACGTCCAAACAGACGTTTATTTGCTGGTAACTGCCATTTCAAAAATACCACCGGAATACTCACTATTTAAATGTTTTTATTACACCACAACTTTGGAAAACATCTCTAAGCCAGGCATATAAGCCAAGGTTACATAGTATGTCAGGAAAGGTATAACCATTAAATTATTTAACTGTGTTTTGTCTATGATTTTTAAGAAAAAAATCTATATTTTCTGCGAGTAGTGAGCAATACTTATCAATTGGTTAGTCACTTGTGTCTGCGAGTTTCATCACCAGCATGATCGGAAAGGTATCTCCCCTCAGCTTCATTTGCAGAGAGGCCTGAGTCGCTCTCAGCCTCCCCCATTTCTGCGCTGCAGCTTCTGGGGAGCCCCTGACACCACAGACCCCAGAGCAGCCCCTGCCGACAGCGTGCCTGCTCCGGACAATCCCGAGCTAAGGATCTGTTAGTATTAACCGGGATTTTCTGTCTCGTATAACGCATGGAGCAGTGTTTCTTAAAGAATGAATTTGTGAAGAAAATGCACAGCTGCCCCAAACACTGTAGGCACTGAACGAGCACTCATGGCTTCTCCCTTTGCAGAAATCTCTGTGGACTCTCCTGTTCGTGGGAGGAGTGCCTTTTTCTGGGGTGCAGTGGCTTCCTCTCCATGCTCACCTCGCACACTCCCGGCTCTGCCTCTGCCCTCGGGCCACCGGTCCCCCAGTCGTGCCACGTCCCTGCTGCCTGAGGGGATGCTTGCACGGCTCCCTCTGCCGGGACTTTCCACCTAGATGCTCGGCCTTGACCCCTCACTCACATACCCTTTTCTGCACAACTCTTTCCTGAGTCTCGACACCATCCTACACTCACAGAGTACTGCACGCCTTTCTGACATAGCCGTGTGTCGGTGTGCTGTGTGAAGTGTTTTTGTGTATATGACTACTTGCATGTTACAGCAGTGTGTCAGTGTGCTGTGTGAAGTGTTTTCGTGTATCTATCTACGTGTAATAGCGTGTCAGTGTGCTGTGTGAAGTGTTTTTGTGTATATATTTGTTATAGCAGCGTGTCAGTGTGCTGTGTGAAGTGTTTTCACGTGTATATGACTATTTGCGTGTTATAGCCATGTGTCGCTGTGCTGTGTGAAGTGTTTTCATGTGTATATGACTATTTGCATGTTATAGCAGGGTGTCAGGGTGCTGTGTGAAGTGTTTTCATGTGTATATGACTATTTGCATGTTATAGCAGGGTGTCAGGGTGCTGTGTGAAGTATTTTCATGTGTATATGACTATTTGCATGTTACAGCAGTGTGTCAGTGTGCTGTGTGAAGTGTTTTCGTGTATCTATCTACGTGTAATAGCGTGTCAGTGTGCTGTGTGAAGTGTTTTTGTGTATATGACTATTTGTTATAGCAGCGTGTCAGTGTGCTGTGTGTTTTCATGTGTATATGACTATTTGCGTGTTAAAGCCATGTGTCGCTGTGCTGTGTGAAGTGTTTTCATGTGTATATGACTATTTGCATGTTATAGCAGGGTGTCAGGGTGCTGTGTGAAGTGTTTTCATGTGTATATGACTATTTGCATGTTACAGCAGTGTGTCAGTCTGCTGTGTGAAGTGTTTTATGTGACTATTTGCATGTTACAGCAGTGTCTGTGTTGTGTGAAGTGTTTTGGTGTATATGACTATTTGCATGTTTTCTGCACACTAGATGGAGTGCAGAGTGTGTTGCCTGTTTTTCTCCACCGCTCCATCCTCAGTGCCTGCTACGGTGTTGGACACACAGTAGAGGTTCAGTAAATGCTAATGAACAGTCGATTAAATGAGCAAAAACCTTTATTGAATACCTACCATGTTCCAGACATGGCTAACTGATGAGAATTTACCAATTACATGCTTGCTGCCTTCAGGGAACTCGACCTCACAAGACAGACTGTCACGTAGAGACAACTGCTACACAACATGGGAAGAACTGCTATAGAGATGTAAAGATGTAAAGACCCAAAATGAAGAAGCCAGAACACATGAACACGAAACCAGCCAACCAACAAACACAAGCAGCATGGAGCATAGAGTCTGGGGACCAACTGCAGGGTGCTGAGGAATGCAGGTGGAGGCAGAGTGGAAATCACCTGAGTTTCCATCAGGCAGAGTTGCGCTTGAATTTGAGTTCTGGCATTTGCTGAGCCTCTCTGATTCTGTCTTCTGTAAAATAGGAGTAATAATATTTATTTATATCTACCGTACAGGCAATTGTGAGATTTACTTAAGACATACTTTGTCCATTTTTCTGTTGCTTATAACAGAATACCTGAAACTAGGTGACTTATTTTTAAAAAGCTAATTTCTTAGAGTTATGAAGGCTCAGAAATCCAAGGATGGGGGTCTGCAGCTGGTGAGGGCCTTCTCGCTGATGGGAAATCAGAAAAGCCCTAAGGTGGTTCAGAGAACCACATGGCAAGGGGGCCGAGAATGCTAGCGTGTTAGCTCAGATCTCTCTTCTTCTTATAAGGCCACCAGTTCCTCTCCCATGATAACCCATTTATCCATTAACCCATTAGTTCTTTAATCCATGAGTAGATTGATTCATAAGGGGATAACCCCTGTGATCCAATCACCACTTAAAGGATGCCCCTCTCAATACTCCCATATCGGGGACAGTTGCAACACAAACAAATTAAGATGGCCTATTAGACACCCTAAATCTTACATCTTAAGGTGTTCTGTGATGTTGCAGTTCAACCCCCTCTCATTCCTCTCTACTCTTTTAGCAGTTACAAACAAACAAACTCACTCACCAAAGAAAACACCAAACAAACATACATCCAATAGTATTGTGTCCGGAATTGGTGGGTTCTTGGTCTAACTGACTTCAAGAATGAAGCCACGGACCCTTGCGGTGAGTGTTACAGTTCCTAAAGATGGTGTGTCCAGAGTTTGTTCATTCAGATGTTCAGATGGGTCCAGAGTTTCTTCCTTCTGGTGGGTTTGTGGTCTAACTGGCTTCAGGAATGAAGGTGCAGACCTTCACGGTGTTACAGCTCATAAAGATAGCGCAGACCCAAAGAGTGAGCAGCAGCCGCCAAAGACGGTGCAGACCCAAAGAGTGAGCAGCAGCAGGATTTATTGCCAAAGGCAAAAGAACAAATCTTCCACAATCTGGAAGAGGACCCTAGCCGGTTGCCACTGCTAGCTCGGGCAGCCTGCTTTTATTCCCTTATCTGGCCCCACCCACATCCTACTCATTGGCTCATTTTAGAGAGAGCTGATTGGTCCATTTTACAGAAAGCTGATTGGGCCGTTTTACAGATAGCTGATTGGTCCATTTTGACAGAGCGCTGATTGGTGCATTTACAAACCTTTCGCTAGACACAGAGCGCTGATTGGTGCATTTACAATCCTTTAGCTAGACAGGAAAGTTCTCCAAGTCCCCACCAGATTAGCTAGACACGGAGCGCTGAT
Source organism: Homo sapiens (assembly GCF_000001405.40). Classification (NCBI taxonomy): domain Eukaryota; kingdom Metazoa; phylum Chordata; class Mammalia; order Primates; family Hominidae; genus Homo; species Homo sapiens. Next base: position 12,921 of record NT_187543.1, read on the forward strand.
TGATGCGGTTACAAACCTCTAGCTAAACAGAAAAGTTCTCCAAGTCCCCACCCGACACAGAAGCCCAGCTGGCTTCACCTCTCAATGACACTTGCCCTGAGGCTTTGCGGCACCTAGCCTGGGTACTCCAGCAGCCCAGAGGGGGCAGCCCAGTAGGCACCGGCCGGCCACACCGAGTGTGGGCTCCTGAGCCTGCACCCACCCGGAACCAGCACTGGCCCGCGAGCATGCACAGCCCCGCTCCCACCTGTGCCTCTCCCTCCACACCTGGTGGGGAGCAGAGGGAGCCGCCGGGCCTCCGCCAGCCCCAGAGAAGGGCCCCCACAGCACAGCGGTGGGCTGAAGGGCTCCTGGAGCACCGCCAGAGCAGTTGCTGAGAGCCAGTGAGGGCTGCTAGCACGTTGTCACCTCTCAGTATTAACAATACAAATACTTTTTTGTCTTATTTGTCCTTTGACTTATTTATAACCAACAGAATGTAGAGAAAGTGATGCTGATGTTGAATGACTCTGGAGGCTAGACCAGAAAATGTTGAAGAGTATCAGAATATACAACCCTAATATATGTTACTTTTGCATAAATTTTATTTTTTAAATTTTTAATTTTTATTTTAAGCTGAAGGCAATTGAGAAAAAGAAGATGCGAGAAGAGCTGTTTACCCTTCCTCTATCTGCTTAAAAGCAAGGAATAAATTTCCATTATAAAGGTGTCCCCTTGTTCTCATACCAAGAAGAGGAGACAGCATCAAGATTACTCTACATAAAGAAACCTAACTAAATAACCCTTTTCTATAATAGTTTCTCCCATGTATTTACCTTCCTACAATTTAATGCCCCTAGAAGCCCAAGCCCCTTTTCTTTGGTTGCTTCCCCACAATTTATCGTACTTTGTTAAAATGGTAGGTAAGCTCCTAAGTGTAACCACTTCTTTGGATTTTTTTAGTTCTTTCTCTGCAGTTCCCATGCATATAAAAATATTAACAACAAATAAAATTTGTATGCTCTTCATTCATTGGTCCTTCTTTTGTCAGTTTAATTCACAAATTAAGCTGCAGAACCTAAGAGGATGGAGGAAAAGTTTTCCTTTCTTACAAGATCATGTGGCATCTGCTTCACTTACTGAGGAGCCCCGAGCCACCATGTATAAAATCTGAATACCCGAAGACCCCCGTACTGTGAGGAAGCCCGACCACATGGAGAGGCCACATGAAGGTTCTCAAATCAGAACCCCACCTGAGGTCCCAGCCTACAACCAGTATCAACCACCAGACATGTGAGTAATGATGTTTCCAGTTGATTCCAACCAACAGCCTTTGGGTCACCTCCAGCCTTTGGATCTTTGCATCTGAAATGCCACACATGACAGAGCGGATACAAGCATTTCTGCTGTGTCCTGTCCAAGTCTCTGACTGATAGAATCTGGGCTTGTTCTAGGCACCTGAGTCTTGAGGTTGTTTGTTACACAGCCTCAGTAACTTGAACAACAGTTATGCAACACTTGAGCTAGACCTTGAAAGATGAATAGGGATTTTTGTCTAGCAAAACTGTTTGGAAAAGGCTTAATATTTTAGGAGAAAAGTTAAAAGGTAAGTGTGGTTAACACATGGGTTGTGGGAGAGAATCAGGAGATGAGATGAAAAAAGTTGATGTAAGAAAGTGTGCTGTATGGTTTAGTGAAAATTATATATTTGTTCATTAGCATAGGCAATTTTCTTCCAGACCGCTGGCTTTGAAATGATGTATTTTTAAAATTGCAAAGTTTATACCATAGAATTTCTGGAGGCTTCTGAAATTTCAATTGGAGATAAAACAGGACTTCAAAATGTAACTTCTCCTAAATTATGAGCTATGGTTTAACTGATGAGTAATTTTTAGTTTTATTGTTGGTTAAAAACACACTGTTATTCCCATGAGTGCTCACATCCAGTTTTAGCATGTGTGTGTGTGTTTCTTTTATTTTTTGTTTTGTTTTGTTTTGTTTTGTTTTGTTTTGTTTTGTTTGCGGTGGGCGGGTTGGTATCAGAGTTATGAATGAGAAGCATTCTTATCAGAATATACTGGATACTAATACATTTTGCGTGTAATTTTCTACAGAGGTATTGATTTTAATCAACTTTCAAGATGAAGCACCACATTTGTCAAGGCAGAAGACCCAAATGTGCAATTTTTTCTTAGGGGAAAACTGGCTATAATGAATGTGCTGAAATATATTAGTTATCTATTAACCTCAACACGCAAGAAAGCACTAGATCATTAGTTTGCCTGGTAAGGGAAAAAACAGGGGCTGCAGCCTGCCCAGCTACAGAAGAAAGTGGAATCAGCAGAACAAGTGGCCTGTGAAGATGCCAGCTTGTGAGAAATGCCTGGCTGACTGTGAACAGGGATATTATTAAATGGATGCATATGATGCATAGCGTAATTATACCACTTATGGCAGAAAAACATCACCATTTTATCAAATGCTCCACTGTGTACATCAAAGATCATGGTATCATCTATCTCTGGGATGCCATGTGAGCTTTGCAGTTCTGGAAGGGCTTCGAGTCAAGTTTTGATTAATTCTTGATGGTTTTATTTGATTATAGAAGTAGAGCTTGAACGTGTGTGTGCGTTTTCCCTTTTTCTTGTAAGAACTGACAATCTTGATTAAATTTCCCTTTTAGGAGTGGGAAGCAAGAAGCAAAGTAATTGTCACCACTTCTTGGAGAAGAATGGCTTATAGTGTTTTGAACATATCGTCTCAAAATAACCTCTTCGGAAGATTAGTGGAAAGAAGCAAAACTGTGAAGACCTTGGTTCACAGTAGCTGTTGATGTTTCTTTTTTTCATTTTGGTATTGATTATAATCGCTTCTTCATAAAGCTCAGATGCAGGGTTTATTTCCAGTTCTTTCACCGTGCTTCTTACCTCAGAGTCAAACCATTGCTATACTCTCCACATAGTTGGTTTCCAGTGTTTAAATTGCATGCGTGAGGTGCTCAGGTTTGTGACATTGCTTTACATATATTACTGTAAAAAAAAAACATAACCCCAAATCTAGAGTATATAAGGCTTTGTGCTAAGCAAGCATGGAAAAGAGTTACTTATGGCTTATATCCATGTGTGGACTATGATTGATAGAATTTCCCTTGCAATTGCCAAAGAGAAGTCTACATGGTCTTTGAAGAAACAAATTACCTATGACCCCATGTATTTGCATTTGTGCTCTTCCTAACTATATAGTAGTCTGAATTTAGTCCCCCAACGTAGGGGGATGTTTTAATGGACAAGCACTTAATTCATTTCAAGGTTTTGAGGATTTATCTTATAAGCACTTACTAAGCAGTGGTTATGTCCCAAGGCCAGGGCTGCACCCTGGAGACTCAGGGAGGCACAATACTTGATTTCATGGATCTCATAATCTAGTGCTATGGAAACATTAAAATATTAAAACCACAGTGGAGAAGAGCAGTGGATAGGTCTTAGGGAAGAAGACTTGTATGAAAGGTGATGCCTGAAATCATACTTAGTCATCTTTACATAGGACGATTTTTATGGAAGAATGAAATCTTCAGGATTGAATGATATTTTCATTTTAGCAAACTGGCCATCTCTTTTCTTTGAGCTTATAAACATGGTTGAATGTGTCAAGTAGCGAGACAAGAAAAAAATACCTTTGAGTGACCTTGCTTTATTATGTGAAAAATGACAAACTGGCAGGCAGGAAAGATACATGGCTTACCATGTATCTTTCAATTTTTGGGATGTACTAAAAAATTCAATGCAGTTACCACATAGAAGCAAGAGCTAGAGAAGTTCTGAGAGAATTTTTAATCTTTAGGTCAGACAGCAAGGATGTGAGGCGGTGAAGTTAAATTACACTGAGTCACATTGACGTTGACTAGTCTGATAGATACAGAAACACACAATTACCTTCACTCACAGAGTTTCCTAGGGCTGCAGGAACAAAGCGCCATAAGCTCGGTGGCTCAAAACATTTGGAAATGGTTCTCTCACAGAGTCACAGCCACGGAAGCTCCAAGTCTGAACTCAAGGTGTTGGCAGGGCTGTGTTCCCTCTGGAGGCCCTACGGAGGCCCCTTCCTCGTCTCCAGCTTCTGGTGGCTTCAAGTGTCCCGTAGTTTGTGACAGCAACACTCCAATCTCTGCCTCTGTCTTCACATGGCCTTCTCTGTGCATCTGTGTGTGTCAAATCTTTGTCTGTCTTTGTCTTATAAGGACACTTATTGGATTTAGGGACCACATGGATAATCCAAGATAACCTCATTTCAAAACCCTTAATTTTATAACATTGGCAAGACTTTGTTTGTTTGTTTGTTTGTTTTGCAAATAAGGCCATAGTCACAGGTTCCGGATGGATATATCATTTGAGGGGAGACAATTCAACTCACTATATACACAAACACATGTGTGTATCTATATAGCTGTATAATTGACACCATGAAATCATTAATAAAAACACTGCCCTTTTTTGAGACAGAGTCTCGCTCTGTCGCCCAGGCTGGAGTGCAGTGGCGCGATCTCGGCTCACTGCAACCTCCACCTCCCGGATTCAAGCAATTCTCCTGCCTCAGCCTCCCAAGTAGCTGGGATTACAAGCGCCCGCCACCACGCCTGGCTAATTTTTGTATTTTTAGTAGAGACGGGGTTTCACCATGTTGGCCAGGCTGGTCTCAATCTCTTGACCTGGTGATCCACCTGCCTTGGCCTCCCAAAGTGCTGGGATTACAGATGTAAGCTACCCCTCCCATATAAAACACTGCCCTTTCTATAGAAAAACTGGTCAAGTACTGGACAGTTTACTACAAAAGAAACAGTAAGTAGATAAAAAATGAAACCTAGGTTCAAAAGCATGAATAATGAATCTTGATTTTAATGATGGTTTCATCAGTGTATGCATATGTCCAAACTTATCAAATTGTACACTAAATATGTGTAGTTTTTTATATTGATTTTACCTCAACAAAGCTATTATAAATACAAATAATAAAAAGTGCAAATAAATTGACAAGATACAAATATATTTAAATATCAAAATGATAGAGATTAAAAAACTGTGCTGCTGGCCAGGTGCGGTGGCTCACACCTGTAATTCCAGCACTTTGGGAGGCCAAAGCGGGTGGATCACCTGAGGTCAGGAGTTTGAGACCAGCCTGGCCAACATGGTGAAACCACATCTCTACTAAAAATACAAAAATTAGCTGGGCATGATGGTGCACGCCTGTGATCCCAACTACCTGGGAGGCTGAGGCAGGAGAATCGCTTGAACCTGGGAGGCAGAAGTTGCAGTGAGCTGAGATCAGGCCGCTGTACTCCAGCCTGGGCAACAGAATGAGGCTCCATCTCAAAAAAACGACAGACAAACAAAAAACAGTGCTGTTGAGTGTGCATTGAGACAGGCATTTTCCAACACTGCCTTTCTGGAAGCAGGGAGGAGAGGCACAGAAATTTCAGCAAGGGTAAAGTCTTCATCCTGCAACCATATTTCTAGGAGTCTAGATAATTCGATATACAGGTAAAGTCACAGCATTTATTTAATCATGTTAATTAGTTATGTAACATATAATAAAATAATATTGTATGTTAATACATAATATAAATATATTATGCTAATACATTGATATATACACACTTAGTCCTTCTATCTGTTACTAAAGGGAGCTCACGTGGCACCAACAAGGAAACACACACTTAGTCCTTCTATCTGTTACTAAAGCGAGCTCACGTGACATCAACAAGGAAACACACTTAGTCCTTCTATCTGTTACTAAAGGGAGTTCACGTGACATCAGCAAGGAAACACAGTCTTATCTGTTACTAAAGCGAGCTCACGCGACATCAACAAGGAAACACAGTTAGTCCTTCTATCTGTTACTAAAGGGAGCTCACGAGACATCAACAAGGAAACACAGTTAGTCCTTCTATCTGTTACTAAAGGGAGCTCACGTGACATCAACAAGGAAACACACTTAGTCCTTCCATCTGTTACTACAGGGAGCTCACGTGACATCAGCAAGGAAACACAGTACTATCTGTTACTAAAGGGAGCTCACGTGACATCAAAAACGAAACACACTTAGTCCTTCTATCTGTTACTAAAGGGAGCTCACGCGACATCAACAAGGAAACACAGTCCTTCTATCTGTTACTAAAGGGAGCTCACGTGACATCAACAAGGAAACAAACTTAGTCCTTCTATCCGTTACTAAAGTGAGCTCATGTGACATCAACAAGGAAACACAGTTAGTCCTTCTATCTGTTACTAAAGCAAGCTCACCTGACAACAACAAGAAAATACACACTTAGTCCTTTGTATCTGTTACTCAAGCGAGCTCATGACATCAACAAGGAAACACACACTTACTCCTTCTGTTACTAAAGGGAGCTCATGTGACATCAACAAGGAAACACACAGTTAGTCCTTCTATCTGTTGCTAAAGGGAGCTCATGTGACATCAACAAGGAAACACAGTTTGTCCTTCTATCTGTTATTAAAGGGAGCCCACGCGACATCAACAAGGAAACACAATCAGTCCTTCTATCTGTTACTAAAGGGAGCTCACGTGACATCAGCCAGGAAACACACTTAGTCCTTCTATCTGTTACTAAAGGGAGTTCACATGACATCAGCAAGGAAACACAGCCCTTCTATCTGTTACTAAAGGGAGCTCACGCGACATCAACAAGGAAACACAGTCCTTCTATCTGTTACTAAAGCGAGCTCACATGACATCAACAAGGAAACACAGTTAGTCCCTCTCTCTGTTACTAAAGCGAGCTCACGTGACATCAACAAGGAAACACACTTAGTCCTTCTATCTGTTACTAAAGGGAGTTCACGTGACATCAGCAAGGAAACACAGTTAGTCCTTCTATCTGTTACTAAAGGGAGCTCACGAGACATCAACAAGGAAACACAGTTAGTCCTTCTATCTGTTACTAAAGCGAGCTCACGCGACATCAACAGGGAAACACAGTTAGTCCTTGTATCTGTTACTAAAGCGAGCTCATGCGACATCGACAAGGAAACACAGTCTTATCTGTTACTAAAGGGAGCTCACGTGGCATCAACAAGGAAACACAGTTAGTCCTTCTATCTTTTACTAAAGCGAGCTCACGTGACATCAACAAGGAAACACACTTAGACCTTCTATCTGTTACTAAAGCGAGCTCACGTGACATCAACAAGGAAACACACTTAGTCCTTCTATCTGTTACTAAATCGAGCTCACGCAACATCAACAAGGAAACACAGTCCTTCTTCCTGTTACTAAAGGGGGCTCACGTGACATCAACAAGGAAACACACTTAGACCTTCTATCTGTTACTAAAGCGAGCTCATGTGACATCAACAAGGAAACACACTTAGTCCTTCTATCTGTTACTAAAGTGAGCTCACGCGACATCAACAAGGAAACACAGTCCTTCTATCTGTTACTAAAGGGGGCTCACGTGACATCAACAAGGATACACACTTAGTCCTTCTATCTGTTACTAAAGCGAGCTCATGCGACATCAACAAGGAAACACAGTCCTTCTATCTGTTACTAACGCGAACTCACGTGATATCAACAAGGAAACACACTTAGTCCTTCTATCTGTTACTAAAGCGAGCTCACGCGACATCAGCAAGGAAACACAGTCCTTCTATCTGTTACTAAAGGGGGCTCATGTGACATCAACAAGGAAACACACTTAGTTCTTCTATCTGTTACTAAAGCGAGCTCATGTGACATCAACAAGGAAACACACTTAGTCCTTCTATCTGTTACTAATGCGAGCTCACGCGACATCAACAAGGAAACACAGTCCTTCTATCTGTTACTAAAGGGGGCTCACGTGACATGAACAAGGAAACACACTTAGTCCTGCTATCTGTTACTAAAGCGAGCTCATGCGACATCAACAAGGAAACACAGTCCTTCTATCTGTTACTAAAGCGAGCTCACGTGACATCAACAAGGAAACACACTTAGTCCTTCTATCTGTTACTAAAGTGAGCTCATGTGACATCAACAAGGAAACACAGTCCTTCTATCTGTTACTAAAGGGGGCTCATGTGACATCAACAAGGAAACACACTTAGTCCTATCTGTTACTAAAGCGAGCTCATGTGACATCAACAAGGAAACACACTTAGTCCTTCTATCTGTTACTAAAGGGAGTTCACGTGACCTCAGCAAGGAAACACAGTCTTATCTGTTACTAAAGTGAGCTCACGTGACATCAACAAGGAAATAGACTTAGTCCTTCTATCTGTTACTAAAGGGGGCTCACGTGACTTCAACAAGGAAACACAGTTAGTCCTTCTATCTGTTACTAAAGCAAGCTCACATGACATCAACAAGGAAACAGAGTCCTTCTATCTGTTACTAAAGGGGGCTCACGTGGCATCAACAAGGAAACACACTTAGTCCTTCTATCTGTTACTAAAGGGAGCTCACGTGGCATCAACAAGGAAACACAGTTAGTCCTTCTATCTGTTACTAAAGCGAGCTCACGCGACATCAACAAGGAAACACACTTAGTCCTTCTATCTGTTACTAAAGCGAGCTCACGCGACATCAACAGGGAAACACAGTTAGTCCTTGTATCTGTTACTAAAGCGAGCTCATGCGACATCGACAAGGAAACACAGTCTTATCTGTTACTAAAGGGAGCTCACGTGGCATAAACAAGGAAACACAGTTAGTCCTTCTATCTTTTACTAAAGCGAGCTCACGTGACATCAACAAGGAATCACACTTAGTCCTTCTATCTGTTACTAAAGCGAGCTCACATGACATCAACAAGGAAACACACTTAGACCTTCTATCTGTTACTAAAGCGAGCTCGCGTGACATCAACAAGGAAACACACTTAGTCCTTCTATCTGTTACTAAATCGAGCTCACGCGACATCAACAAGGAAACACAGTCCTTCTTTCTGTTACTAAAGGGGGCTCACGTGACATCAACAAGGAAACACACTTAGTCCTTCTATCTGTTACTAAAGCGAGCTCATGTGACATCAACAAGGAAACACACTTAGTCCTTCTATCTGTTACTAAAGTGAGCTCACGCGACATCAACAAGGAAACACAGTCCTTCTATCTGTTACTAAAGGGGGCTCACGTGACATCAACAAGGATACACACTTAGTCCTTCTGTTACTAAAGCGAGCTCATGCGACATCAACAAGGAAACACAGTCCTTCTATCTGTTACTAACGCGAACTCACGTGATATCAACAAGGAAACACACTTAGTCCTTCTATCTGTTACTAAAGCGAGCTCACGTGACATCAGCAAGGAAACACAGTCCTTCTATCTGTTACTAAAGGGGGCTCATGTGACATCAACAAGGAAACACACTTAGTCCTATCTGTTACTAAAGCGAGCTCATGTGACATCAACAAGGAAACACACTTAGTCCTTCTATCTGTTACTAAAGCGAGCTCACGCGATATCAACAAGGAAACACAGTCCTTCTATCTGTTACTAAAGGGGGCTCACGTGACATCAACAAGGAAACACACTTAGTCCTTCTATCTGTTACTAAAGGGAGCTCACGTGACATCAGCAAGAAAACACAGTCCTTCTATCTGTTACTAAAGGTAGCTCACGTGACATCAGCAAGGAAACACAGTCCTTCTATCTGTTACTAAAGGGAGCTCACGTGACATCAGCAAGGAAACACAGTCCTTCTGTCTGTTACTAAAGGGAGCTCACGCGACATCAACAAGGAAACACAGACCTTCTATCTGTTACTAAAGCGAGGTCACGTGACATCAACAAGGAAACATACAGTTAGTCCTTTGTATCTGTGATTTGTGCATGTGCTGATTCAAGCAGCCACGAGTCAAAAATATTTGCAAAAAAAGCCCTTTAAACTGTATTGAACATATACAAAGTTTTTCTTTTTATTATTCTCTAAATGACACAGTGTAACAACGATTTGCATAGCATTTACATTGTAGTAGGTGTTACCAGTAATCTAGAGATGATTTAAAGTATAGGGAGAATGTGCATAGTCTACGCTGAATACTACACAACTGCATATCAGGGACTTGAGCGTCTAGGGATTCTGGTATCTGGGGGAGGTCCTGGATCCAATTTCTCATGAATATCGACAGATGACTGTATGTTGTATCTTGATGCAATGAATAAACAAAGCAGATAACAGTAACTGACATGGGGTAGAAGGTGAGGGGAAATGAAGGGGTTGCTATTTATATGTTTACATGGGATGAACAGGGCAGACCCCACAGAGGGGATATTTAACAGAAGCTAAACGTACGAGAAGCAGTCCTGAGAACTGTAGACCAAGAGAGCTCGTGGTGGCCCTGGGAAGGGGCTTGTCAAATCTCGTGGCCCCTAGGGGCTGGTGACTGTTAGCGGCTGGCCAACAGCCAGCTGCCGCCCTGAAATCTACCACTGTCAGCCGGTAACCCACCATGGTGGAGTATAAAGGCAGGCCTGCTGCGAGGAGATGAAAGACTCCTCTGCTGGGCAGCCTGGGCTGGAGGGTTCTACTACCAGCCTTGCCAAAAGTTTCTCAGAATTGCACTGCATTTTAAGACTTTGCCTGCCCAGCCCCCTGCAGCCCCTTCTCATTTTCCTCCACATGCACTTCTCCCAAATAATCTCTTGAGTGGCAAATACCATTCCGGTGTTTGCTGCTCCAAGAGCCCAGATGTACACAGTGTTCCAAGAGAGGCTGCACAAATACAGTGGCCCCGAGGAGCTTGGCATTTTCGAGGAGCATCAAGGAGGCCAGCGTGGCGTTCATGGAAAGGACAGAGGGAGAGTGGGAGATGAGGTCAGAAATGTACTTGAAGTCCTTGCCGAAGAAAAATCGTTGACTTGCTTATTATAAAACCCTTTTTGTTAAGGAAGAAATAAAAACTGTTAACCAATGGCATCTGTATCCATTACAGAATTTAAAGGCAGGGTATCATACAGCCAGTACCTTACAGTCTTCCCATTAGCAGCATTCAACACATCTGTCCAGGTAGTAAACCTAAGTGGCCCAGCTCTGGGCCATTAAATTTTGATGTAACCCATTAAGGAAACTTACGGCCTTAGTTCAAAGGGCTGTTGCCATTGTGTCTGTGAGAGCGGTGCTGCAGAGTGCATTTTATGCAAATCTCATAGATTTTAATGAGTGATCCTGCTTAATAAGCTAGTTAGACCATTTGGGCATTTACTTGAGAGTGACCACAAATGCCTTTTTCTGAAACCATTTTACAGTGCTAACATTTCACTGAAATAGCACTTAACACGGAGCCAGGCACACAGTGAGCACTAAGAGTGTTACATGACTGATGACAGGGATGAAGAACAGGAGTCTTACCAGGTGTGTCAGTCTCGATGCTCCTGAATGACCCAGACAAAAAGGGACTAGAAACTTTCTTTTCAGGAGTTTGTGGCTTAGATCCCTGTTTCACCACAAAGCATGAGCTTGACACAGCCTGGACTTGACAGCACTTTCCACAGGGCACTTAAAAATACTTGTACCTCCTCTCTTTTACCTCCATAAACCATGACAGGTCTTTGCTCAGCCTCTGATAAGCAAAAGATTAGAAAATCCCTTTAAACTTCAGAAACAGAGCAATGCTCAGTCAGGCGATAAAAGCTGCAGAAATTGGTCTTGAATATTATCACTGTGTATCAACTGAAGTCAGATGAAGAGCTCCACATTCATCCAAAGTTCTTTTCATACTAATTAGATGCTCTTCAAAGGTGTAATTACCATTTAAAAATGACTTTGGAGTGCAGGATACACAATAGATTTTTAATGTCTTTTAATTTATTTCGATGTTTCTCATATTTCATTAGTACGTTCTTATTTTACCAATGAGTCACAGGACTTTCAAGGACTTTTCCCTCTCCCACAGTTAAAATGCTAAGCAGAAGCTAAGCTCACGTGAAAAACTTGTCTCAATAACCAGAGAAAGACTATACTAATTACAATTTGGATTGTGTGGATTATCAATTTGTCCGATACTCCGTTTGCCTCCACCTTGAGGAGAGAACTATTTCCAGCCCCAGAGTCAAGCTGCCTCATTGCACGGAAGAGGGAGTAAAATAAGAAGCCTGGTGATGTGCTTATTGTCACAATTTGTGGTACAGCTGACACTTAGACTACATCTGCCCTTGAAGCTCAACTTCTTTGCCCTACTCCTGTGGTGTTTCTTGGCATCTGGTATCATTTCAAAAGGATAAGAATGGCATAGAGAAGGTTTCTCATTGCTAAGCATGGAGTAGGAATATTTTAGTGAAATGTGTAAGTTTTGGGGCGGAAGTAAAAACACCCCATCTGCTCTTCCACACTTGGAGAGAGCTGCACACAAAGCAGCAACTTGGCTCTGGGCGGCAGCTGGCTGAGGTCTCATGGTCTGGAGGACAGCCCCTGGCTTTCACATCGTCCGTGTCTTGCCATTTCTCTTTGGATAAGGCACAAATGTCTGAAGATATCCTCCAGGCCCGAGGACCTGCTCCTATTCTATCCAGTCTCGTCTTTCATGAGCCACTGTGCTTCAGCCACTGCTTTTCCTTCCACCCCTTTGTCTTTCCTTTTTCCCAGGTATAAGGCCTTTGCACTTTCTAAACCCTCTCCTGCGTCTAGTGGGGACTTGGAGAATCTTTGTGTCTCCCTAAGGGATTGTGGATGTACCAATCAGCAACCTGTGTCTAGCTCAAGGTTTGTAAATGCACCAATCAGTGCTTTGTGTCTAGCTAACCTAGTGGGGACTTGGAGAACTTTTGTGTCTAGCTCAGGGATTGCAAATGCACCAATCAGCACCCTGTCAAAATGGACCAATCAGCTCTCTGTAAAATAGACAAATCAGCTCTCTGTAAAATGGACCAATCAGCAAGGTGTAGGTGGGGCCAGATAAGGGAATAAAAGTAGGCTGCCTGAGCCAGCAGTGGTAACCTGCTAGGGTCCCCTTCTGCACTGTGGAAGCTTTGTTGTTTTGCTCTTTGCAATAAATCTTGTTTCTGCTCACTCTTTGGGTCCACATTGCCTTTATGAGCTCTAACACTCATCGCGAAGGTCTACAGCTTCATTCCTGAGCCAGCCAGACCACGAACCCACCAGGAGGAATGAGCAACTCCAGACAAGAGGAAGGAGCAAACTCCGGACACACCGCCTTTAAGAACTGTAACGCTCACTGCGAGGGTCCGTGGCTTCATTCTTGGAGTCAGTGAGACCAAGAACTCACCAATTCCTGACACAAAGAGAGGCCTAAGAAACCATCTAGGCCAATGCTATGGTTTTGGAGTTCAGGACATTGTGGCTTAGAGACAATAATGGATCTGCCTAAAATCACAACACAAACTAGTACCAGTTCTTGAATGAAAATGTAGGTCTTCTGATTCCTAGCCAAATGCTTTTTATAAGAATGAAAATTTTGTGTCCTTGGAAGGCCTAAGGCATTTTCCCAGAGTAACTTAGAAGAGTCGGGCTCCATGAATAATTTAGTAATATAGAAATAAGATTTTTTAAAATGTCTAAAATTGACTGCATGACCCTGGATATAAAGTATAAAAGCAGAAGACAGATGTGATGTGAGGCTGGCAACAAGTCGTGCCATGCTCTATGTACCCACACTAAAAGACAATATCCTTTCCACCTTACATACTTTATGGCAGTATAAGCATGTTAAGTATGCAAATCCTACAATGCTGGCAACATTTCAAGACTAGTTGTGTCACGGTGTTCATAAGCCTGGGAGCTCACTAAGCTACAGAGCTCTTAAAACGTAGAAGTAGAAGAGGTAGAAAAAAAAAAGGAATCACACTCCTTATTACTGTAAACCAAAGAAAAAATATTTACATTTTCAGCATTCTGTTGGGTAGGAAAAAAGCTTTTCCTATCCCATCTTACATGTTGTGCTGGAGCCTGTGAATTAAATTGAAAAAACAACAGCAACAAAAATTAACAAGAGGCAAAAGCACACACATGTAATTGATGTTTTCATGTTACATGCGTGCTGGCTACACATAAGATAAGTGAAAAACTCAAAACACTGGTTAGACTCAGGGGCTTATAAACGATGTGTGTAATTCTGGAATAATCCTACTGACCTTGAAGCAGGCCCAATACTCCCACAGCGTGTTCTTTTGTATAAACATAGACATTGACTCTTCCGCTCTTAAAGCTTGAAACTTGTATTTGTTTCATCTGAGTTCTTTCCTCAGGAAAGGACCTTCAGGCCTCTCCAAAAAAAAAAAAAAAAGCATTAAAGAACTGAAACTCACCAGATGAGACCTCCTTGTTCCTCCCTAGTTCGTGTTTCCTACACATTGTTACATTTCTTGCCTGTTGTATAAAACCCCATTTTTAGTCAGTCAGGGCGATGGATTTGAGGCTGAGCTCCCATCTCCTCAGCTGCAGCACCAGATGAAAGCTTCTTCCCTGGAAACACTCACCATCTCAGTGATTGGCTTTCTGTGCAGTGAGCAGCAGGACTTAGACCAAACCCATGGTGTTTTGGTAACAACCTCACCAAAATAGATGGGCACACACACAAGCCTTTAAAGATACAAAGTTAAACGGATAGTATGGATCATTCAGTATAGAGGAAACAGCATAGCAAATGTATAGAGACGGAAAATTACTAGATATGTTCCAGGAGCAACATGCAAATTCCACTGCCAGTTTTGGCTGTGAGGTCAAACAGATCTGATCTGAATGTTTGCATTCCTCCAAAATTCATACATTGAAACCTAATTCCCAATGCAATAACATTAAGAGGTGGGGTCTCTAGGAGGTGACCAGGTCATAAGGGTGGACCCTTCATGAATGGGTTTAGTACCCTTATAAAAATGTCTGAGAGAGCTTGCTTGTTTCTTCTGCCATATGAGGACATAGAGAAAACTCCATCTATGATGAATGGGCCCTCAGCAGGCACCGAGTCCACTGCTGCCATATGAGGACATACAGAAGACTCCATCCATGATGCATGGGCCCTCAGCAGGCACCAATTCTACTGCCGCCATATGAGGACATACAGAAGACTCCATCCATGAATTGGCTCTCAGCAGGCACCGAGTCTACTGCTGCCATATGAGGACATACAGAAGAATCCATCCATGATGCATGGGCCCTCAGCAGGCACCGATTCTACTGCTGCCTTGAGCTTGGACCTCTGGCCTCCAGAACTACTAGCAATACATTTCTGTTGTTTTATAAATTACCTAGTCTAAGGTACATTGCAGCAGAAATGGACTGAGAGAGACATCTTTCAGAGAATTACCTCTGTTTGTTTGTCTGTTTCTGTTTTGTAAAACTGGAAGAAGAATAGAACTTACAGTTCTGTGGTATAAGATTGTGTCCAGAATTGGTGGGTTCTTGGTCTCACTGACTTCAAGAATGAAGCTACAGACCCTCAAGGTGAGTGTTACAGTTCTTAAAGGCGGCGTGTCTGGAGTCTGTTCCTTCTGATGTTCAGATGTGTTGGGAGTTTCTTCCTTCTGGTGGGTTTGTGGTCTTGCTGGCTCAGGAGTGAAGCTGCAGACCTTCGCGGTGAGTGTTACAGCTCTTGGGGCAGTGTGTCTAGAGTTGTTCGTTCCTCCTGGTGGGCTCCTGGTATCGCTGGCTTCAGGAGTGAAGCTGCAGACCTTCACGGTGAGTGTTACAGCTCATAAAGGTAGTGTGGACCCAAAGAGTGAGCAGTAGCAAGCTTTATTGCAAAGAGCAAAAGAACAAAGCTTCCACAGTGTGGAAGGGGACCCCAGCAGATTGAAGCTTCTGGCTCGGGTAGCCTGCTTTTATTCTCTTATCTGGCCCCACCCACATCCTGCTGATTGGTCCATTTTACAGAGAGCCGATTGGTCTGTTTCACAAAGAGCTGATTGGTCAGTTTTGACAGGGTGCTGATTGGTTCGTTTACAATCCCTGAGCTAGACACAAAAGTTCTCCACATCCCCACTAGATTAGCTAGATAGAGTGTCGATTGGTGTATTTACAAACCCTGAGCTAGACAGAGTGCTGATTGGTGCATTTACAAACCTTGAGCTAGATACAGCGTGTCAATTGTTGCATTCACAATCCCTTAGCTAGACATAAAGGTTCTCCAAGTCCTCACCAGATTAACTAGATACAGAGTGCTGATTGGTGCATTCACAAACCCTGAGCTAGACGCAGGGTGCTGATTGGTGTGTTTACAAACCTTGAGCTAGATACAGAGTGCTGATTGGTGTATTTACAATCACTTAGCTAGACATAAAGATTCTCCAAGTCCCCACCAGACTCAGGAGCACAGCTGGCTTCACCCAGTGGATCCTGCACCAGGGCCGCAGGTGGAGCTGCCCGCCACTTCCGCACTATGAGCCCGCACTCCTCAGCCCTTGGGCGGTCGATGGGACTAGGCACAGCCCTGGAGCAGGGAGCGCCCCTTGTCGGGGAGGCTCGGGCTGCACAGGAGCCCATGTGGGGGTGCGGCGGGGGAGGCAGGCTCAGGCATGGTGGGCTGCAGGTCCCAAGCCCTGCCCTGCCGGAGGCAGCTAAGGCCCAGCAAGAAGTCGAGCACAGCAGCTGGTGGCCCAGGTGCTAAGCCCACTGCCCGGGGCTTGTGGGCAGGCTGGTGGCTCTGAGTGCGGGGCTCGCCGAGCCCACGCCCACCGGGAACTCGTGCTGGCCCTCAAGCACCGTGAACAGCCCCGGTTCCCGCCTGTGTCTGTCCCTCCACACCTCCCTGCAAGCTGAGGGAGCCGGCTCCAGCCTTGGCCAGCCCAGAAAGAAGCTCCCACAGTGCAGTGGCGGGCTGAAGGGCTCCTCAAGCATGGCCAGAGTGGGCGCCAAGGCTGAGGAGGCACAGAGAGCGAGCCAGGGCTGCGAGGGCTGCCAGCACGCTGTCACCTCTCAAGATAAAATGAAATAAATGGATATGAAGTTCTCAGCACAGTGCCTAGAAAACAATAAGATCAGCAAATGTTAGCAACCATAATAATAATTATCATTAGTTGCTGCAGTAGAGAGTTTATGTAGAAAACTAGAAGGATGTAGGCTAGTAAATGGTCAGGTCCTATCAGAAAACCATCCATTATAATGTGTGATATCAAATCTACTGTATCTCAAGTATAAGTTCAAAAAATGTTCAGAAGTCAAGCTCTTTCAAGAAAGGTCAATAACACCTATCATTGGCTCATCATCATGGTCCTTCAATCAGCTCTCTCCTCATTAGGAAATTTGCTATCTGTGAGAAAAGGAGTCTCCTTAATGGGAAAACGTGCTTTGGATTTCCGCTTGATGGGAGGCACTGAATACTAGTGAATTTTGCTTTGTGGCAATTAAATTGAAAGGTCAAAATATGCTAGTTTGGATTCATTTCTAACGTGGCAGATAACTACCAAAATTGCAACTATCACTAAAGCACTTTGATGTACATATGCAACAAAGGCAGAAAACTGCTCTGAATGTCTCCTAAATCAAATATGTCTCTTGTGTATCTTACAAGTAAAAATATCGTTTTAAGCGTTTCTTTAATGTGGAAAATTTTGCTAAGAAACAAGAGATGCCCACTAGTTTGATTTGCAGTTACATCCACTTTCATCAGCTGTTATGGTTACTGATAATTCTTGGCAAGAGTGTTTAACTCATATGATGTAATATTCAGCTTTTTAGTAAAGTTATTCTTTATATGCCTTATCCCAAATCCCAGCATACACTCTCTTCAGAGGCCATGTTTTGTGTTTGTCTCCATGCCAAAAGTAGTCATAATGGAATTCAATGCACATAGACGAAAGCTGGTTGAATAAATTGCACCTATAACCAAGAAGATCAAACATGCTTCCTAGTCTACAGGGTATTTTGCACGTAATATTGGAAGAGAGACTGTGGAGTATCTGACACATTGATATAACCTCCAGTTGCTAGATGCCTAGTAACTCCGTGCACGAAAAGAGTGTTTCAAGAGATTCTTTCATAAACAGAAGTTGCACAAAATGACCACAGGTCGCTCGAAACCCTAAATATCTATGATATTCTACCAATGCTATATTCACAAACGTGTCTTAACGGTTCTCACCGGATTCTATTTTACTCACTTTTGAAAGGTCACCTAATTTTTTAAAGTGAGCTAATTACTGTAGTGAGTAAAATAGTCTTGAATGATTGCAGGTGGCAATACTATCCTATTACCCTTCTAAAGGCTAAGGTGACACCAATTAAATTAAGGGTGACTGATAATTCTTTTTTATTACTACACCTGTATTCATATTTATATACTTTTCATTAATGCTCCTGGAGTCAGTTAAAAGATAAAGGGGAACTAAACTCAGCTCATTAATAAAATTTAAAAGTTGGTTTCCAGACTCTATATGCTGATTACTCTCTGCCACCACGAAGGCATTTTAAAGCAGCACAGATGAGCACATAAGCAACGAAAACAGACTTTCCACAAATAAACCTTGAAAAAGAAAAAAAAAGGCAAGATAAACAAGATCAGCAGGCCAGCAGTCTTGTCAATTCTTCACTGTCCCAGTGGTACTTTCAACTCATTAATGTTGGCTGCTGTGTTCTCAGGTGACTTGCTGGTATAAATGCCTCATTGTCTGGTAACCAAAGGGAACAGCATTTTATTGCCAGTAACCTGATAAAGAATTTTGAAAACAAGAGACACAGCAGATAATGAGCGTTTTGCATGGGCCCTCTACACTCTATAACCATTCAAGCTTTCCGAGCAGAAAGACATGACCTTTTCAGTCCTTGTGCCTTCTACGCTGTGCAGTGCTAGTCGGTGCCGGGATGAAGCTGACAGAATCCTCCCAAGTGGCTCCAAGCACAAATGAGGTCATCACAATGGAAAGCACTAATCCGACTCATTGTACTTACTCTAAACACATGAGCACTAACAAGTTTCCTCTACTTAAATGTTGCTTTTGTGTGTATGTGTCTGTGTTTGTCTGTCATTTAAAGGTATGACCAGATGCTACCTTGCAGCCTTTTCCTGGTAAACTCTTGGTCATTTTCAACATTTTCCTGACATTCCAGCTGAATAGTTATCATCACTTCAATTTTTAATACAATAATTTAAAGCATTCTATGATTCCAGTTTTCAAAAGGTACAACACACATAAGTACTTCCCTTAAGATGCTGATAACTAGTGAAAACACTATAGTGATAATTCTCTACTAAACAGCAAAATAAAGGCTAAAATGTTATTGATGCTTTCGCATTCTGTAGAGAAAGTGATTTTTCATAGCGTTATTGACTGCATTTCATCTGTTTTGCATATTGTTAATGAACCTTGTTCTCTTTAAAACAAAACAAAACAAAACAAAACATCTTTCTTTAAAAAAAAGAACTCACTTATTTCCTTGACACCAACATACACTATGACTTCCAAATTATGCCACCTCTGGGGAACAGTTTTTCATATCCTCTCAAGTACTTTTTTTTTTTTTTTTTTTTTGAGATGGAGTCTCTCTCTGTTGCCCAGGCTGGAGTACAGTGGTGCAATGTCGGCTCACTGCAACCTCTGCCTCCCAGGTTCAAGTGATTCTCCTGCCTCAGCCTCCTGAGTAGCTGGGATTATAGGCGCCCGCCACCATGCTCGGCTAATTTTTTTGTATTTTTAGTAGAGACAGGGTTTCACCATGTTGGTCAGACTGGTCTCGAACTCCTGACCTGCTGATCCACCTGCCTCGGCCTCCCAAAGGGCTGCGATTACAGGCATGAGCCACTGTGCCCGGCCAGTAATTTTACTCTGTGTGTTACTTGGCATTTTCCACTTTTCTGTTCTCTTTTGTGCATTTGTATTCTATTTTATATTAGTCCATGGTTGTGGCACATATTAAAGATGTTTGTAAATTCTTGTCAAGTAAAATGAATAAACGATCTGATGCCAGTTGTTCTTAAAATTATGTTCCCTCTCAATCTCAGAGGGACTTAATACTCTTCACACTTTTTACCGACTGAATGCAGGAAAATCCCAGGTCATCCATGAAGCCTGTGATTCTGTTGGTTCCATCGTCCAACGTGTCCCAGCTATCATTCAAGAGTGGACATAATGCTCTGCTCCCAGACCACGTCAAAGTGTCCACTCTGGGTGCCCCACGACAACCTACTGGCCAGCACTGACTACCAGACCCTGTTGAAGTGTCCACTCTGGGTGCTCCACGACAACTTACTAGCCAACACTGACTACAGGGCTCTAAACTAAAGGAGAGAACTGTTGGGTGGTTATGCTTGCAATTAGACCCTCCAGGGTGTCTACTACCACTGATGGAAGCAGGGGAAAATAAATATTATACATTCAGAGTTTGGCTACTCCAAAAGAGTAGGAGTCCCCCAAACACTGGGGACTCCTACTGAAGCATCATATATGAGACATATGAAGAGTAGAAAATGTAGGAAACATTGACAAACATGTATTAAGTCACTTCAATATAAGCCTTGGAAAAGTCTAGGAGCTCTATTAGAGATGCATGAATAGAATACAATCAGGGGACATGGTATGACCAGAGTTGAATAAACAGCATTGCTCACTACTCTTCCTGAAAATAATACTAAAAACAGCAAGAATATATTTTAAAATACAATTTCATTTTAAGTTGAACTAGGAGTAAATAGAAATGGACCATAGACTCAAAAGTACATATAGAGACTCTAAACAGCTGAAATCAAGCAAGCCATGGAAGACCAAAGGAAGAAAAGCACAGTGATGGCTTAAAGGCACAGTGGTGGCTGATTTCAGAAAGGGCTGAAGGCCAGGGACTCTGAAATATAAAAGTTGTATTCTTTGTTTGTAATAATGGATTCAGAACCTCTATGGACCGAGGTCATCGAAGACTTTCTGGACCCAGTTTCACTCAGAGAAGGTGATGCTCTACAAAGAGCCGATGACTTAGGTGTATCTGCAGAAGCCACTGAATTCTATGGCAGTGAAGGAGAAGACTGTTGGGTTGTTAAGCTCTTAGCCGTATCTGCAGAAGCCACCAAATCCTATGATGGTGAAGGAGAAGACTTAGCCATATCTGCAGAAGCCACCTAATTCTATGGTGGTGAAGGAGAAGATTTAGCCGTATCTGCAGAAGCCTCCAAATTCTACGGTGGTGAAGGAGAAGATTTAGCCATATCTGCAGAAGCCTCCTAATTCTATGGTGGTGAAGGAGAAGACTTAGCCATATCTGCAGAAGCCACCTAATTCTATGGTGGTGAAGGAGAAGACTTAGCCATATCTGCAGAAGCCACCTAATTCTATGGTGGTGAAAGAGACTTAGCTGTATCTGCAGAAGCCATCTAATTCTACGGTAGTGAAGGAGAAGATTTAGCCGTATCTGCAGAAGCCATCTAATTCTATGGTGGTGAAGGAGAAGATTTAGCCATATCTGCAGAAGCCTCCAAATTCTACGGTGGTGAAGGAGAAGATTTAGCCATATCTGCAGAAGCCTCCTAATTCTATGGTGGTGAAGGAGAAGACTTAGCCATATCTGCAGAAGCCACCTAATTCTATGGTGGTGAAGGAGAAGACTTAGCCATATCTGCAGAAGCCACCTAATTCTATGGTGGTGAAAGAGACTTAGCTGTATCTGCAGAAGCCATCTAATTCTACGGTGGTGAAGGAGAAGATTTAGCCGTATCTGCAGAAGCCATCTAATTCTATGGTGGTGAAGGAGAAGATTTAGCCGTATCTGCAGAAGCCTCCTAATTCTACGGTGGTGAAGGAGAAGACTTAGCTGTATCTGCAGAAGCCATCTAATTCTATGGTGGTGAAGGAGAAGATTTAGCCATATCTGCAGAAGCCATCTAACTCTATGGTGGTGAAGGAGAAGATTGTTGGGTTGCTAAGTTTGCAAGACAACTTTGCCTCCTCCTTTCTTCTTCATAGAAACTTTTCACAAATTATTGGTTCAAAACATTTCAATTAATTCAGTAATTAATAATTATTGATTTATGTAAAGACACTATAAGAAAAAACTATGGGGAAAAATGCAAACTTATCAATGGAGAAAGATCACACAACAAAAATCAATGCCAAAAGCAAGATGAAAATGTTACCCAAATATTTTGCCATGAAATGAAAACTTAATGGAGCTGTCAGATCAAAAATGGAAGACCATGAAGCAGAAATATAAGAACTCAGAGAAAGAAGCGGTGAAACGTTAGAATAAAAAAAATGTGCTGACAAAAACCAGCAAACATGAAGAAAAACCAAGATCTTCATAGAAACGAAGGTGAACCTAGAAGAAGTAGAGAAATTAAAACAGACTTTAGAAAACTCAGTAAGGAACATAGAAAATATAAATAAAAAAGTAAAAGTAAATACAGTAAAATTAAAGGGAAAATCTAAAAATTATTAGAGGGAAAACAGTGGCTATAGAAGATAAGCAGAGACAATCTAAAATATATCAAAAAAGGAAGGTATGGAAAGAAAAAAAAAAAGACAGCATTGAAAGAGCATGAATCCCTTTAAGAACTGATTCAACAAAACTTTTCCAGAATAAAATTAGGTTCCACAGAAAAGGAAACACTAAGAACACCCTACAAAGTTTTAAAGAAACATTAAGGAAAAGATCCTTTAATCAAGCCGCTCTTAAAAAAGAGAATGTAACAGGCTAGTCTCATATTTTTTCCTAGCAAAATTTAATGCCAAGATACAGTGGCCCATTACTTACAAGATATTCAAAAAGTGGAATGAAAACCAAAGGTTTTATACCTAGTCAGGCTACATTTCAAAGTATACTTCAGGCAGTTTTAAATACACACAAACTCAGGGAATATTTTCCTACTTGGGAAAAGTCCCAGAGAACAAACTTTAGCCAACAAAGAGATAACTAAGGAAAAACTATGGTGAAATATTATAATTGTGAATTGTGTTGACTAAAACTAAAATAAACATGAGAACCAGGGTAATAAAATGCATATAAATGCCATATGCCCTGGAAATAAACCAATATCGAAACTAACAAAAAGTGGAAGAAGAAGGAGGAAAGAATGGAAGACATAGGGTAGATCAAGGCTGCTGCATACGATGTTTGTACAGTTTTCAACTTTGAGGGGTCTTGTTTGCTGAGACCCTGACATCATCTGCAGCTCCAGAGCTGAGAGACACGATGTGCACACACACAGGTGGGGGTCTGAGGAGGAGGACTTGGTCAACTCAGCTGTAACAGCCAGGACTCAAAGTGGATCATTCAAAGCAGTAAATCAAATGTTAGAAATAGAAGCGTATGTAATAGCAAAATAACAAATACTAAATAACATGCCACGGATACTCTCATTGACCGAATTCTAGTAGTGAGAGGCCTGGAAGGGAGTAGAAAGAGAAAACACCTAGTTTTAACACAGCGGAAAATAGAGAAGTAATCACTCCTGGGTAAATGAAGAGATCATAAAAATACTGCATAAAGCTGTCATTTAAAAAATTACCACTGAGCAAGTTCCCAGACGAAGCTACCAGAAAAAAGTTTTTCTCAAGCAAATAAATCAGATCACATAGAAAACAACTTTTAAAATTTATGAACACATAAGATGCTATCATATACGCATGAAACACCAAGCATAACTGTTATATCAATAAATATAAATGTAAATATGATATACACATATATAATTAACCATTACTGAAGGACTTGAAAAAGAATTTGATCAGATTTCCAGAGGAGAGGAGCTTGGGATACTCTTTTCCCCGCAGTGAAACAACCGTTTAACTGGTAAAAATTATAAAACACACTTAAAGTCTCTGGAAATTGACCTAAGGGCAGATGCAAATTAATAAGCATTTATTCAAGAAAATCTCCTAAATGTTGATAAAACAGTGGAAGTCTGTGCCCTCTGAGCCAGAGCTAGTTCCTATTCCCTCCTCCAGCTCCATGTCACAGGAGATCTCCACATCACATGATCACACGTCACATGACCAGGAACATGGGAACTCCTTTTCAGCCCCACTCCCAGTCAAAGACGTATGATTACACCCCAGGTGATCTCATCCCCAGACACCACCCCTCTAAGTAAAGGAAATTAGGATGCCATCTCACATCAAGGGGACAGATGAGATGTTTCAACAATGTTGATGTTTGGACAACTAGGAAGATATATGAAAAAATAAAGTTAGATTCATTTCCCACATCACATACCAAAATAAATTCCAAATAAGACAAAAACTTTAATGTGAATAAAAATAAAACTAGGCCGGGCGCGGTGGCTCACGCCTGTAATCCCAGCACTTTGGGAGGCCGAGGCGGGTGGATCATGAGGTCAGGAGATCGAGACCATCCTGGCTAACAAGGTGAAACCCCGTCTCTACTAAAAATACAAAAAAAATTAGCCGGGCGCAGTGGCGGGCGCCTGTAGTCCCAGCTACTCGGGAGGCTGAGGCAGGAGAATGGCGTGAACCCGGGAGGCGGAGCTTGCAGTGAGCCGAGATTGCGCCACTGCAGTCCGCAGTCCGGCCTGGGCGACAGAGCGAGACTCCGTCTCAAAAAAATAAATAAATAAATAAAATAAAATAAAATAAAATAAAATAAAATAAAACCATACAAAAACATAAAATAACATTAAAGAATTTCTTTAAAACCTGGAAGTGAGGATGACCTTTTTATTTCTGAAAATCCAGAATCCATAAAGTATTAACATTTTATCACATACAAATTAAAAATTTCTACATGGCAAAAAATAAGGTATTTGGATCTAAAGACATATAACAAATTGGAGGGCAGACATTTGTAATCATATCACAGATAACGGGTGAATCTCTCTGTATAGGAACTTTTAGAAATGAAGAAGGAAAAGATAAACAACAGAAAAGGATTCAAAGATTAATAGTTCTCAGAAAAATTCAAATAATTTTTTGATAGATGTCAACCTCAGTTATAAAACGAGAAAAGCATTTAAATTACCATGAAATACCATTTTTCACGTTTAGATTGGCAAGAACTAAAAGTTTTATAATATATATCATCAGTAAGGCTGTGGAGTGTAAGCTTTTACTACCTCTATCGAGGGCAATTAGTATCTATCAAAGTTGCAAATACCTGTAATATTTGACAGAGCATTCCCACTTTGGGGTTTATACAACATACTTGAACATGTGTAAAATAATGTATGCATAAGTGTACTCATCAAAGCTATTAACTATTAACAAAAGATTCAAAATAATTTTATTCTTCAATCTTGGACTAGTTAAGTAAATTATTGTCTAAGTTCAGTGGAACGCTATGTCTTCATTTTAAAAATACATAAAGTCTACATACTGACTTATATGAAATATTATTTAGAGAAAAAATAAGGTTTAAAACAGTGTGTTTAATAAACTGTCCTTGCTGTAAAAAGAGAAAACATAAAGGTATACATTTATTGTTGCTTGCATATGCCAACAGAAACCCTAGAAGAACGCAAAAGAAACTAATGACATCAGTAGCCTCATGATGTGGCCATGGGGACTGAAACGAAGACAATCACGAGATTAGGAGGAAGACTTTTCAATGTATACTTTTACACTTTTTAGATATTCAGCCATGTGCATTGATTTCCTACTTCAAAAAACACCCAAATTTTAAAATAAAAGATATAAAATTCAAGATAATATAGATCAAATAATCCATTCACCCTGGCCCAGTCACCACTCCTTCCTCTACAGAAATACGCACCTACAGAGAATTTTTGAAATCCTCTAGAGAAATACACACCTACAGAGAAGTTTTGCAAAAATAAAAATAAAAAAGCAAGAGGCGAAGCAGTGTTTATTACTAGCTGAGATGCTTTTGCCCCGTTAACCCCCACAGGCTGAACCACTTGGAGAAATTGTCCAGCCTTGCATAGACACAGAAATGGGCTCCTCTCTTGAAAGCAATTCTGAACCTCAGTGTTACACCGGGCCCAGAACACAAACACGGGGAAGCAGGGAGAGAAGAGGAATAACAATGCCTCCAAAGACTGGGGTTAACCTAGGCCTTCCCAAGCTGGAGAAGTAGATGAGCACCAGGCTGCCACAGCTAGTAGGGTGCAGGCACTGGCCCCTGAAATTCTCATTCTGTTCCTCCCAAGAAATGTCTGAAGGGAGGTCAATGTCTGCTCAATGATCTTGCCCTTGCGCTCAGAATAAGAAGCTTCTGATTTTTACCCCTTCGAGGCCCCACCTGTAAACAATGTAAACCAATCAGGTATCACAAAACCTGAATGCTACGCCTTATTTTGGGGAAATGAACTTTATTGCTCTTGGTCTACACTCAGCTCTTGTAGACAAGTGGGAGCGTGGGAGACACAAAAGGGTAGAGAAAGAGCCCTGTGCTTACCAGGGAGGCTACTGTGGTGTTTTGGAGGCTAAGTTCAGGAGTTTATCCAGCATAGAAGGCAGGGGTTTAATGCCTCTTATCAATAAATATTTACACATATAACCTACATGCATTGAATCTATAATGTGCATACATTTCTTGTACCTGAAAATATCTAATATTAAACCAAGGAGAAATATAATTATAGATAATATAATACACATAGTTATAGCATACATTTTAGATGAAGCATTTTTGCATGCTAGGGTAGACAATACACACAGTTACAGCATACATCGTAGATGAAGCATTTTTGTATGCTAGGGTAAACACAAAACCTGTTTGCTATGAAGGCCCTGGCAGTCTGTACATCTAGCCAATCATTTGCATACTATTAAATAACACGTTTGCAGTAAAACTAGAAGGCAATAAAGCTGTATCCATGTGTTCTCTAACCTATTTGATCAATGCTGCCATAAGAGCTTCAGAGATTGAATATTTGTGTGGCTCTCAATTTTGCTCACAATTTACGTAAATTAGAAGCTTAAATGTAGGATATTGGTAATAATTTATGTGATCTAACAAACAACTCTCTAAAGTCTTTGGAATATAAGGTCTCTGGATAGCCAAAACTTCTAATTAATTGAGGATTACAACTTTAATCAACAATAATTTTTTTTAATAATTTAAATATTTTGGGTGAAAATCTTTTCAAACAATTTTCAAAGCCTAAAAGCTTTGAATTTGGTTGATAATTTCTAAGTCAACACTATGAACACTGGATTACATATAATAGATATAATCTATGTCATACAAACATGTACACAATAGATATGATGAGGTCTGTTAAACTATGTGGGGTTATTTGCATTGGTCTATTTTTCCACTTACTTTGTGAGTTTTTCTCTCCCTTTCCTTGCTGTCAGTGTCCTCATGTAGCAGCTTTTCTCCTTATTTCTAATTTTCTCATTTTACATCTACTACAGGCTTTGAAATTGCATACTGAAGCTTCTTTAAGTACTATGTAACCTAAGATTAGGCCTTGAAATAAGGGCAAAAGAGATCACTTTCAAGCCACATGTGTGAGATTTGAATGCAGGCCCTTGAGATGATACTTTGGCTGTATACAGGTTTGTTGCTTCCTGCTTTAGGCTACATCTAAAGCAGAGTTTTCTCTGATAAGAGTTTGGGTTAGATTCAACATAACCTTAGAAGAAATGGCTACCCTATTTTATTTATGCTTTGCTTTTTTTACAAAAAAGAAATTTTATTAAAATGTATAGAAAATCATGTGATAAAATATTTTTTAAAAAAAGAAAAGAAAAAAGTGAGGTCTTTGAAATGTAAGGCAAAAGGCAAGAGCAGACAGAGCCAGGTATAAGACTCATCACACAACACAAGCCAACAACCCTCCATCTTTGCCAGAGATGAGGAACAAAGTTGGTTTTATGCTTTGTAGTCCATCCAAAAAGCTAACAAAACTCATATTGTTACTTAGTGTAAACAAAACAATCGCTTCAGTAAAGTGCAAGTTTTTCAGACAGTGAGTCCAGAAAACAATTACTTCTTACTTCCTCCTCAAGAAATCACTGTGAAATGCAAAAATAACGTTCTCGGCAATGACGTTACAAGAAACCCAAAGATGAGTTTTAATAGCATAATTCAATGAAAAATAATTCTATGGGAAAAGAAAAGATTACAGCTCACCAGAAACACAAAATTGCGTATTCCAAAGCACAACCACTGATGGTCTGTGGCTGCTCCTGGTGGCTCAATGGCACTATCTGTGACTGTGTTGGATGCACACAGGTGGTCATCTCCCAGTACAGTGTGAGTCATTCAGCACCTCAAGTCACTGAAGAGTGCCTGACAGACCCTAGGCCCTCCTAGCCCCACATCTCAGTCTTGGTTCCTCAATACAGCAGCTAAGTCTTGATTTAAGCAAATGAAAACACAGCAGGGAGCTCTGCTATTACTCCAAATATGATTACTCACTATAGGCTTTAGAACAAAGGAAATAGAGACAAATTAATCAAAAGAAGCAAAATATCTAGTAAAGACATTACTGTCAGTGGTTGGCGGTTAATGAGTGAGTGACCTGGATAAGGACTACTTATTGCTAAAGGCATCCTCCAATACACAGAGTGGGGAAAGTGAAAGAAAATTAAACACACAAAAACAGCACTATTCTTTTTTGCCTGTGACAGCAAGCCAAAATGTCAACACCAACTCCTTAACTTTACTTTCCATGTAAGCAAGCAGCATTAGCATTTCTCTAGAGGAAAGGACAAAAAAATAGTTCATAACAAGGTAAGATTTGGAATTAAAAACATAAACTGGTGTGGTTCAACAAAGCCAGATTTTTCAGTGCAAACAATGTATCAACTGTCAGTTGAGTGAAAAGATAACCCAGTCTCCAGTGCCTAGGGGCCTGGAATTATACACTGCAAGGTATTGTGCATCAATTTCCCATGTGTCAGAGAAAGGAACAGTTTAGCCTTGACACCAAGAGGTCTGCACACACAAATACCTAAAAGTAACCTAAAAGTCTATTCATGTCCTTAGCCCACTTTTTGATGGGATTATTTGTTTCTTGCTAATTTGTTTGAGTCCATTGTAGATTCTGGATATCAGTCCTTTGTCAGATGTATAGATTGTGAAGATTTTCTCCCACTCTGTGTGTTGTCTGTTTACTCTGCTGACTGTTCCTTTTGCTGTGCAAAAGCTCTTTAGTTTGATTAGGTCCCAGCTATTTATTTTTGTTCTTATTGCGTTTGCTTATGGGTTCTTGTTCGTGAAATCCTTGCCTAAGCCAATGTCTAGAAGAGTTTTTCCAATGTTGTCTTTTAGAATTTTTATAGTTTCTTGTCTTGGATTTAAGTCCTTCATCCATCTTGAGTACCACTTGTTCCCCAATAACCTATGGAAATACAAATATTAAAAAATACAAAATAAAAGTTACTTAGCACTCAATTGCAGTATGTCTGAACCTCTTGGAAAGATGGATGCCTTTCAACTATTAAAATTATTTTTTAACTATATATCTGAAAAGCATTATTAATAAAGATTCGTGAACTTAGCAGTTATAGTTCCAGAGAAAGAGTGCCAGGTGTACAGCTCTTAGAATGTAAGCTATTAAGATGCAGAGATTGTATCTGTGCAAATCACTTTGTTCAACACCAGCGAGAAGTGAAATATTTACAAATATTTTTTTGATGACAATGACAAGGAATCAGGACCCTTGATTAGAAGAGATGGATATCCAAGTCAAACCAGCTATCTTAGAAAAGAAATTGGGAGCTCCCCTTACCAAATGTTGAGAAGAGCAGAAGTAGAGCTGGGCCTCAAGCTAGTGCCAACATCTGAAAAGGGGCTGTTGGGAAGAGCAGAAGCAGGACTGGGCCTCAAGCTAGTGCCAGCATCTGAGCATCTGAAAAGGGGCCAGGACTCCCTGTCTCTAAGTCTTTCATTCCCACTTTCTTGGTATCTTGGCTTTATCTCCAAACCAAAATCCTTTTCTTCCCTAGAGGAGGAAATAGAACTCCAGTAGCTCTCTGCTAGCATCAAGCTAAGCTGAGGTGTAAAAACTCTCTTCTACTTAGTTCTGTGCATGGACAGAATCATCTGCCTACTCACAAACCAATCCTGTATTGGGGGTGTGGCATTCTGATCTCCCAGGTTGGGTCATGTGCCTACCCTTAGGGTGGGAGGCAGAGATTTATGAGTTGGGTGAGGAAAGAGAAGTAGTTCCTGCAGAGGAAAGGAACATGCACTGAACTACAGAAATGGGGAGAAGCAATGAATATTAAAAGAAGTAGACTGATGTTAGGAGAAAATGGCAAAACTAGGGTAAGATTCCCATATATCTCAGCTGGAGTACTACAGAGCCCCATGTGTTAATACACAAGAATACATTTTATAGAAGATGTTATTATTATTTGTATGAAACTGGATACTCAGTTGAATTCGTACATGAATGCATAATGCCATCGCTCACTACCAAAAATTTTGCAGTAGAGCTTCCCACATTTGGGGCAATTCCAGGGATCAGCATGCCCCTATAATGGATCCAGAGTGGAATGGATAAGCCTTGCCCTGGGAAAACTGCCTTTAAGATCATGGTATCTGCCCTGCCAGGTAAGTATGAAACTGGATCTTTCTAAGGCACATTGGAACAAACCTCATTTTTAGCCACAAGTTATGGGTATTTTGAAAAGCCCTTATTGCAAAACACATAGAAACAGCAGGTAAAATACAGTCAACATGGACTTAATGCATGGTTGTTCTTCCAAGAGGGTAAGGAAACCCCCGGGGAAATGGCAAAGCAGAAAACCTGAATGGGGGGGAAACGGCAAAGCAGAAAACCTGAATGGCCAATGAATGCAAAACCATGGCTGCTCCGGAAACATTTCCCAACCTCAAGAATCTAGAGACTTGAATCTGAAGGCTGAGCAGGGTGGCAGAAGACAAGGCTTTTAGGTCACTGCCAGGTAGAGACCTCTGCATACATTCAGAACTCATTAATCAGGAATTAAAAGCTTCTAACAAAAGTAAAGAGATAAAAAAGGAGCTTGTTCATCTCATGTTCATTGCAGCATTATTCATAATAGCCAAGAGGTAAAAGCAACCTAAATATCTGTCAAGAGATGAATGGATTTTAAAAAGTGGTATATACACAATAAATTATTATTCAGCCTTAAAAAAGAAAGAAATCGTGTCATATGTCATAACATAGATAAACCTTGGGGATACTATACTAAGTGAAATAAACCAGTCACAAAAATACAAACACAGTGCTGCATGATCCTTCTTATATGAGGTTTTTAAAGTAGTCAAACTCTTAGAAACAGAGACGTAAAATGACAGGTGCCAGGGACTAGCGGAGGGGGAAAAGAGGACTTGTTCAGTGGGTATAGAGTTTTATAGTGAATCCCACACTTAATCCTACTCAAGCTGGTATAGAGGATAGAAACAAAGATAAGACTATAGATTTATGAACAATAAAAAGTGTAAACCAAGCATTCTATACCTAGCCAAACTGTCATTCACATATGGAGATGAAAAGAGAAAAAGAGTTTCAAACATGCAGGAATGTAGGACAATCATTTGTACAACCTTACTGAAAAATTGTTCTCTGAATTAACATAAATGTGGCCGGGCATAGTGGCTCACGCCTGTAATCCCAGCACTTTCGGAGGCCAAGGTGGATGGATCGCTTGAGGCCAAGAGTTCAAGGCCATCCTGGGTAACATGGTGAAATCCCATCTCTAGTAAAAACTCAAAAATTAGTTGGGCCATGGTGGCGGGCTCCTGCAATCCCAGCTGAGGCAGGAGAATCACTTGAACCTGGGAGGCAGAGGTTGCAGTGAGCACAGCACTGCACTCCAGCCTGAGTGACAGAGGGAAACTATGCCTCCGAGAAAAACCAAGCAGACAGACAAATACATTTTACACTGGCAAAGATCAAATTATTTGTGATTATAGTGCTCATCATTTACTGAGCATATAATCCCTAGCAGTAGTTTCACTAGATACTTTATAAATGCCATTTCTGTCTGTCCTTCAACAAGCCTCTAAATTAGATGTTCTATCCACTTTATGGATATGAGAAATCTAAGAGAACTTACTAACCCACTCTTAGATTTCTCATCTATGAAGTTGACAAAATAGCTCATTTACAGGCTTTGTAATTTCTAAAATATCATATAGCTAGGATTGTAAATTGATCCTGGTACTTTTTGATTTTTTGAGTTAAAGTTCATGCTGAAGCGTGTTGGGTTGACAGGCATTCTGAGATTCAGCACAGGGCATAAGCAAAATGGCAGCTTTTCCTACTGGGGTAAAGGAGTCAGACCACCAAAATAATCGGTTCTTTAAACCTCCTTTCTGATGACTCACATCCTCAAAACTTTATGAACTCTTAACATGATATCGTGTACACTGGAAAAATGCAATGTATATTTTTAATAAAAATGGAGTGGGTTTTAGGAGATCTAGAGCAGTCACAGCTGACATCCAAACTGTTCTATTTCACTCGCAGAGGTTTCCATCTTCCACCACCACGACCTCCACCTTCCTGCTCTTCACTCCTCCTTACTTTACTAATCTAGTTACTGTTTTTCTCTCTTCCAATTCAGACTCAAAGTGACAGGACGGGACAGAATGAGGCAGAAATCACAGGGTTTGTAAGGCCTGGAGAATGGGGTTCACACAAACCTTTGGACCACTTTTTCTCAGGGGTAGACTTCATGCTCAGATGCTGATGTTCTGTGCTGGACCTGTTTGGGTTCCTCCTCCTCATTCACTCTTGCTCCTGAGCATCACCTGCTCTGACTTGTAAACGTTCTTCTAACATCCCCTAACACAAAGGAGTTAACTGAAGCTCTGAGAGGCCTGGAGGTCAGTCATGGACCTTCACATTATTTGACTTTAAACAAATCTTGAAAGATTCATCCCCCTCAACATGGCACTTGTGTGCATGTAGAGGCATTCATCTCACACCACTACAAAAGAAGCAGCAGTGTTTGCCAGAAATCATGGGATTCCTCTTTTTTCTCCGGGCTCCGGGTCTGAATTGCCAGGCCGGCTTTGTCAGGAGTGATAAATGTAAGAGTCATGGCTGGGTGGGGCTGGATTGTGCTATGTGTGGCACATAAGGGATGAAAGTGAGAGATATTTCCTAATTACAAATGTATGTTCTTTATTCTTCAAAGTTTGGATTCACACCTCTCTATTCCATTTTTCTGCACAAAATCTCACTGTATCATTAATGGATTTGTCCAGTGCATTGATAATATCATAATCTATCCACTCTAACCTGATTAAGCATGCACTTGTCATTTTAAAAAATGAGGAAACTGGCATACATGTTTCAGCAAAGAATTTGCCACACCTGCATTGTGTATGCAGCTGGTTTAATTACAGACATAATGTATTTAGCATAGTATGTACGAAGCTGCATCACACCTGAACATCCCATTTGATGTATTTCCTGAGACCTATTTGCCACTGTTCTTTCCTTTGTGACTGTCCTTACAGAATTAATATTTTGATAACTATTATATAATTAATTATCCTTCAGGACCTCATTGAAACTGCGATCTTATTCCATCACATTTGGAAATGAGTGTACGCTTATAGCTCCTTTTGAAGATAATGAGGCATCACAGAAGGAGCCATGATCTACATTTCCTTGAACATCCAGAAAGCAGAAATTACGATACTGTGACTGGCCCTGGCTGTGTTTTGATGAGATTGTCTTGGTCATCACTTTCTCAGTTTCTTAGCACCAAGTTCTTGGGTGACCAGTTGCACAGAACACCACTTGCATTACTGAATACAAACTGACTTGGGGTCTATAGGGTGACGGTGGTTGAGGGTTGACAGCAGTGCTGTAGGAACAAGACTTGAATCACAGAGGGAGTCTACATGGAGCAATGTGGTGATATATTTCCAAGCACACAATTTCTACAACAGGTCAACTGCAATTCCCACACAGCTGACCCAGCCCTAAAGTGAACATTGAGTAAAAGCAATCATATCTTTATTCCAAACCATCTGAATTTGCTGATTTTTATAAATATGTTATTTTATTCTATCAAATAAATTCTACTCCTGGATTCCTTAAAACAACTCCTGCATTACTTTGTAGGTAAAACTATCAAAAAATTTGCATAATTACTTCATTTGAAGTTATTAAACTGCTAAGGCAGCAAAATTCATTAAGCTACATTTTACTAAACTCTAATCATTAAGTGAAACAATATTTTTCCCTCAAAAAAGGTAATAGTTTCCTGGAAATATTCTTCATGGCTTTATTTCCTCTGCTAATTGATCCGGGTCATTTAATTCAATAATTTTTATAAAGGTAAAATTATAGGAATTTAATTGACTTTTGCTTAGCTTCCAATTATGTCTAATTTGTTTCTATTCAGTCTCATTAGATCCAGTTATGGTTGGACTAATAGTAATTACTCCCAATAGTTAATGTACTTTAAAATAAGGACTCTGTCTTCTGTTATTTTCAAGTAATTTTTCATCAGGGTTAGGCAGGGCTTCTTAATCATATTAATACAAATGGTTTCCTATGTACATGAGTAAGTTTGCATTTAGTACGCAGGCAATCCCATGTAACTTAGCAAAGCTAGCAAGTCCCTAGACACGGCGCAGCCACTGTAGAGGTGGCCTCTCACTAGCATCGTTAATATCAATTGTAATTGGTAGGCAATCACTTAGTTTCACATTTCATTACCCGAGTTATACAAATGTGTAAAAAAAATACAGTTTTAATAAAAGGGAGTAAAGGATAATATGAGTAATATTCACAATCTCTAGTTGGAAGAGGTAGTGTTTTCTCAGAAATGATGCATTCCTGGAGCAAGGTCATTTTGTGTTTGGTTTGTTAAATATCTATTTCCATTTTGACAAACCATTGGAAAAGCCCAGCTTCACAAGGACTCTCCATGAAAGCGATCACAAAAAAGAACACCCATAACACAAAATCAAAACAAGGGTGGTCTGGGCTTCAATTAAAGACTCATTACCAAGTTTTCTTAGAAGAGATAAGGAACACAAAGTTACTTTTATGTGATGGAAAACAGAGAGAAAGAGTAAATGGAACAATAACCGTTAGGAAACAGCAGTGAGAAACAAGCTGTGGAAAAAAATGAATGGAATTATGTTTTGTTTGCTATTGATTTCCTATCCTGATATCAGAAAATATGGGAAAGAACAAAGCACATTTTTTGAGACAAATAGAACATAGAATAAATTAGCATTAAAGATTATTTTGCAGTGCTAACAAAAATATCTGTGACTTGTTTCTTCCCTTCAAAAATACGATTTTGTACAATTACATTTATATGAATTATAGAAATAAAATTGTAAAGATGGAGAACAGACTATGGGGTTGCCAAGGGGAAGGGATGGAGGAAAATGTGTCAGAGTGTCCACAAAGATTGCAAGTTGGAGCCTGGCGGTGAGGCTACAGTTCTGTATCTTGACTGTCGAGGTTGTAGTTACAGAGATCTACACGAGATAAAAATGCACAGAACACATGCACACAAATACACACACACATACATACAAAAACAAATGTGTACAAAATGGTTGTGATCTGAGCAAGCTTTCTGAATTGTACCTATGTCAGTTTCCAGGTTTTGATATGCTCTATGGCTATGCGAGATGTCACCGTTGGGAGAATTAGTGAAGAGTACCTAAGACATCCCTGTACCTTTTGCAACTTCCTGTGAATCTATAATTATTTCAAAAGAAACTTGAAAGTCGAGTATAGCAAGGACTAAATCCATCACTTCAAAGAGGAAAAAACTGAAGATGAATGAAATTGTTGAAGAACATCAAATACTCAACAGTCCGTATGAGAGCTGTATTCTGTCCACTCGAAGCTCAGCTGTCGTTTAGCCTTTTCCTGACGTGCCCTGGAGGACTTGAGCTCCCCTTGGATTGCCAAGGCCTATAATGTTTATTTGTTACTAACTTTGTGCTGGACCCAAAAAAAAATGAAAAGTGATCGAATAATCATTTATAATAACAACTAGTACTTTTACTTATAAAGAGACAATAGTGGTAATGAATTTAAATATTTGGGGTAAAGAATAGGATCTTGGTAAGACAATATTGGCAAAATATAAAACAGAAAAAATAAGGAATCAGAAACATAAGTAGTTCAGTACTGTGAAAAAATTCTGGATCTGAGAAGCAAAAGAACAGAGATTGTATTGCATTTCTGCTCCAAACCTGCTGAATCACCTTAGGCAATGCATGCCCTTTCCCTGAATCTGTTTTCTTTTCTACAAAATAAAGTGAGCTAGATCATCTCCAAATATTCACATTTTTCGACTCTACATGGACTTCAGTTGAATTGCTAATTTCAGTTTGGATAATACATGTGTGCTGCACCACAAGTGGTGTGTCTAAACCCTCATGTTGGTCCTAAAAAATAATTAAATCTAGCATTTGGCAGCTGGAAGCCATTGCAATCTTTTAAGTATTCCTGAAGCTTATTTTATCAGTGTATCAAGATAAAATGCTAATAACGTGGTAGATATAAAGTCTGTTAGCAACTATCAGTGCTGTGTTATCTCAGAAGACTTTGTTAGGATAATGATAAGAAGTGGATCAAGTAAAACAGCCTGAATTGACCCCCAAGATCCACTAAAATGATTAACTATTCCATTCATGAAAATTCACTACAGTCAAACTATCTAAACTTGCTGTTCCTGAGCTGACGTTATTCCAGTTCTACATGGCAGTATTAATTGCACCTCCATTTGGCTAAGCATCATGAATAACAGCAGTCTTAACAATGTATCGCCACTTCCTTATATACCTGTTTACACTTGTGATCATAATAATGTCAACTTTAATACTCTCACCAAAAAAATGTTGAAAAAAATACCCCTTTTACAACGTAAAGCTAAAGATCTAGGCTTGCATAAATGATCAAAAGCTAAAAGGTAGCACCAGTAATCTCTGTTAGTACTGCAAAAAGACATCAAGTTCAGTATCAACTTAATAAAAAAGACAGTTATTAACCAGCAACTGAACTTTAAGGTTATCATGTTGCTTGCAACTGAAATACGAGCCTATTCACGAACACAGACGATATTCACATGAACATCCCTGCTAAACTCTACCTGAGCTCA
Source organism: Homo sapiens (assembly GCF_000001405.40). Taxonomy (NCBI): domain Eukaryota; kingdom Metazoa; phylum Chordata; class Mammalia; order Primates; family Hominidae; genus Homo; species Homo sapiens. The sequence continues at coordinate 49,787 of NT_187543.1, forward strand.
CCATGAGAGTAAACCGGGAGGAGGGGTAGAGATGATAGCTCTCCATATATAATGCTTGAATCTCCAGGAGGCAACAGAACAGGATCATTGCCCCACCATGGCTCCTTCCCATCTGTTTTGATCATCCAGGCAGACCTATAGTGAAACAAAATGAAAGCACTAACAGTTTCCTGGGCTGTATTTTTCTTAGTATCCTACAGAGAAACACCTAGTCACACTGCCACTGACTGCACTCCTAACCCTGGATTTTGCATTCTCACACTGTGGGTTACAAGAGGCAAACAGCAATGCAGATCCATCACTATCATCGGATATAATGCAAATAAGACACTTGCTGTGGATGGCTGATCATAACAATAACATGATCTGGGGGCATCAGAAGTCCTGCTTGACTCTTATTTTCTAACATTTTTGCAGGCTGCTGGCTGACCTCCACCCCACTTCAGGAACAACAGGATAGACTACAGCTGGGCCGATCCATAAACTCACCAGTAGCCCAGGAGATGGCCTGACATGAAAAGTTCTGCACAAGCAGGAGCAAAATGAGCCAATAGCTCCACTTGCATTCTGTTGGTATCCTGCATGTTATTTTCACAGAGCAATACAAGTTTCTGCTGTACTGCACACACATATTACTCACTTTCTTTGCCGCCATGATGCTTAAGTATTTCAACTGCATTTTTAAGTAATATATCTTTCAAAACTTCGCTTAAAAATTGCATGATCTCCAGTTGTAGCTTCAGTAGTCTGTTGAAAAGTTTGTCTAAGACAGTAGGCTTTAAACATTGAAATAACTCCTTGGTCCACTAGCTGGACGATTAAAGTTGTATTTGTTAGTAAAAAGCGGCTTTTTAACATCTTCATGGAGGTATCCAAATGAATAAAGGTGACCTGGACACTTATCCAACAGTGATGGTGCTTTAAAAGTTAAATTATGTGAGTTTATGACTGGAGGACAAGTAGTTTACACAACTACACACCTTGATATCTGTCTAAACTAAATTCATACAGACGCACAGGTACACAGCGACAAATAACCAGCACACTTTCACAGAGACAGCATGATTGCTCACTGATCATCATGCTTGTCCATTAAATACTTACTAATTTTTGTACTAAAAACCAGCATCAAAATTTGTACTGAATGAAATTACACATAGTTAATACACTGTGGAAAGTGAAATTTGCACTGTGTCCATGAAGGAATTATATATGTTATCTAACCAAAGCACAGTAACAAAAATTCCTGCATATAAGAACCACGAAAAGCCAGGACTGCTGTAAGATTTTTATATTACTTGGGAGATGATATAATAGTACTTAAGAATAAACTGTGATAAGTTAACAATATACACGGTAAACGCTTGAGCAATAACTTTGAACAAAAATACATAGTGCACCTATTGAGCCAATAGTTGCAATAAAATATAATACTGATATGGTTTGGCTGTGTCCCTAATCAAATCTCATCTTGAATTGTAGTTCCCATAATCCCCATGTGTCCTGGGAGGGACCTGGCAGAAGGTAATGATACTTATTGAGCATCTACTATATCAGGTGCAGCCAGTGTAGCTCTTGAACAAGACAGACAAAATTCTCATACCTCTACCAGGGTCATATTTGATCTTCATTTATCTACCATTTATAACATTTTATTTGTCTTTTATTGGAAACCCTTCAAATCCTTTCTGAAGTAGATATAGTTGAAATAAAGATATAAGTTGAGACTGAGATCATATACTGCATTATTTCCCTTGCAAATTCATATTAATTACAGTGAATATCTCATTTTGTTTTTCTTTTTGTTTGGAGGGAAGGAGTAGTTCCTGTCTTGCTACTTTTCTTTCTAACCGTGCCATGATTTAAGTTCCTTCATTCATCGTGTTGGCTCTCTTGAAGAAAAATCCAGACACCTGCCTTACACTGGAAGCAGCAAGGGCTTTTCCTCGCCGGCTCCCGTGCAGCTCTCAGGCAGGCGTGTGACCAGACCATGGCTGTCAGTCGCTCTCCCTCCAGGCTTGGACTCTTGATCCGTGATGAGAGAACAGCAGAGGCACATGATATTTATCGCAGCACCAGTGCGCTGAGCGAACCCTTCCTGCCCAGAGACGAATGCAGGGTCCTTGCTTCCCCAGTCCCTTTGATTTCTATTTTCAAGCCTAGTTTCTCAGCTTCCAGTTTATTCTTTGAGCCTTGCTCTCATTGCTACCACCAACATTTTTCAGGAAATTCCCCTTTCTTTTCATGTTATTTTCAGATGGTTGCAACTAAAGAGCACTAAGCAACACTCTCCAAACTCAACTGGGCCCTGCTATTCCCAGTGTTGCCAATGAGAAAGAATACATGGAGCCCCACAGAAGGAGGAGTCAGAGTCCTTAGCTAAGGGAGGAGACCACTACTCATATCGTCTTATGCGCAATTTCTGCCTCCAAAGAAATAAGAAGTAAAAACTAAAAGGCAGAAATGAAATCCACAGGCAGACAGCCCAGTGCCACACCCTGGGCCTGGTAGTTAAAGATCGACCCCTGACCTAATCGGTCAGGTTAACTATAGATTACAGATATTGTATGGAAAAGCACTGTGAAAATCCCTGTCCTGTTCTTCTCCGTTCTAACTACCAGTGCATGCAGCCCCCAGTCATGAACCCTCAGCTTGCTCAGTCGATCACGATCCTCTCACGCGGACCCCCTTAGAGTTGTGAGCCCTTAAAAGGGACAGGAATTGCTCATTTGGGGAGGTCGGTTGTTGGAGACGTGAGTCTTGCTGAAGCTCCCAGCCGAATAAAGCCCTTTCTTCTACAACTCGGTGTCTGAGGGGTTTTGTCTGCAGCTTGTCCTGCCACAAGCCAGCACTGGACACTCAAAGTCTCTTGTGCAATAAGCACTCAATAAATAGTGGTGAAAGGAAAAGGGTGGAAAGGAGGAGGGAAGAGAAGAAAGGACAAAGAAAGAGAGGAAAAGAAGGAAAGGAGGGTGGGAGGGAGGAAGAAAGAGAGGGAGGGAGCAAGAAGGGAGGGAGGGAAAAATGTAGGGTGGGTGGGCAGGAGGAAGGGAGAGAGAAAAAGATAAAGGGAGGGAAGGGAGGGAAAGGGGAGGGGGAGGGAAAAACACAAGGGCGTGGGAATAAATCCCAAATGACCATTTCTGGCAAAAAATGCTGAGTTAAAAAAATCACGGGAGAACACCCCTTTGTTTAGGTACTTGCTATCTCTTAAAAGAACACAGAAATTATAGTTTATATATTTTACATGAATATTGAGGAAAATAAGGATCTGAAGGATATGCAGAGAAATACATGAAAATACAAAATTAGGTGTCTAAATTCAGAAAAGCTGGTAAATATTAATGAAGTAAAATAGCAGGCAAAGACATGTGGGAGGGGAGTGTGACTTAGAATGTAGACCTGAATAAGAAAATTAAAAGTTATTTTAAAGTTAGTTGAAGGACTAAGGGTGGAAATCCATAGGATTCCTGCTTTTTTTCTGTCTATGCTACTTTGGCAAGTATAGTGCATAAAAGACATAAGGAAGATTGAGAAAATCATGGATGATCTTTCTACTTAAATGAAATTGTATCCAAAACCAAAAAACAAAAACAAGAGTGAGAGACAGAACTTTTTCTATGGGTTTCCCACTGTGGAAATCTCCCTACAGACACCTCATGTGTTCTTTGATTATTTGGCTGGTTGGATTATTTTCTCTCTCTTCTGGCTGTTTGCTAACTGAGGTTTTCATTACAGAGGCCGTCTATCACCCGGGTACCAATTCCTGATTAATGGAAAGATACCATCTCTCGACATGGTACCCTCCAGGTTTGATTGACGCTGCTTCGAGCTTTGAGCACGCATCGGTTATGTGACCCCGGGCCTCTTGTTTGCTCATCTGTTTTCATTTTGTGGTATAGAAACTTTACATGTCCAGCCACTACTAAGCAGAAACACAAAGAAGCAATTATCTATTCAATTGATGTTTCCCAGATGCAAGTTATTTAATGCTTTTATTAACCCTTAGAGTGGCATGTTATTCAGTCTCCACACCAGGTGAATATTCGGTAGGAAACGCAGCTCCTATACACACACTATTGTCATTTAAAATTAAAGGGAAAAATTAAAATGTCTCTCCAGCCAAACTAGCCCTTTTTCAGCATTTTTACATATTATGAAATAAATCTAAGGCAACTTTTAGGTTGTTTACAGAGAATAAAAAGTTATCTTTAAATCTAGGGCTTAAAATGAATAATTAGAGGTAAATCTAGTTGGCTTAATCAAAATAACTGCTATAGGAATTACATACAATTAGCGTCCAAATAAAATCCTTAGCCTACTCTATACAGGAAAGTAATATAAATATTAGATAGGAAAATATCAATTCTCTCTCTCATGTCTTCTCAAGATCACATTTAAACCCTTGATCCTTCTTGTCATTTCAAGCACAAGCCAAAATACAAGCCAAAACACAAGCAAATCATGAGGATAAGGCTGAATTTTAAATCTTGATTCCAAAAGCCACTCTCCTATTCTGGTTAGAAAAATAACAAAGCTATGTTCTGTCTTTTATCACTGCACATTTAGGCCACAATCATTCAAGTGTTTTGCCAACAATGAGCACAGCACAAGGTACCAGGGGGCAATGGGTAGACAACCTTTCGACAGCTTATTCCAGCACAGACTGATGCAAAACAAAATGCTGCCAGAGCCAAGTCCCCTTTCGGCTTCTTCCTGGCTTTCTACAATCTTATTCCTCACTTAATTTCTCCATCCTGTTCCCTTCTCTCTGCCCCTAGTAGCCCGTGACTCACATAAGCCTTTCTCAGGCCAGCAGGCACATGGGAGCCTCACCCGGCCTGGGGCCAGCAGATGAACCAGGAGTGTGACCCAGGTCCCAGCAATAACCAGAGGTGACAGGGCAAGGGCTACAGCTTAAGCACTTTGAAGATGAGACTTCTGACCACATGGAGAGAAAATAAGCACCAACCTATACCCGTTGCACAGGGTACAGTAGAGCCACCAAATTGCAGTCAGGAGCCAGGACCTCTTCGCTGGATGCTGTCCTCGCCCATATCACCCCACACCGGGTCATCGCGGTCTGTGTTCATCACTTTCCACCTCTTTCCTTTATCTTTGTCCTATTCCACCATTGCTTCTGCTTCCTTCCCCAAGACTGATCATGTATGTCCCAACTGAAAAACAAAAATCTCTTTTCTGAACCCTGCAACAGTCTCTACCAGCGGTCCTCACACAGGGCAATGCCCTTCCCACCCCCACCAGAGGACATTTAGCAACATCTAGAGACCTTTATGTTTGTCACCGCTAGGGGAGGGGTTGCCACTGTCATGGGGTGTCCAGGCCAGGGATGCTGCCAAACCTCCTACAAGGCACAGGACAGCCTTCTCTCCCCAACAACAAAGAATTGTGTGGCCCAAACTGCCCATAGTGCTGAGGGAGCAACTCTGCTTTGGACACCACTCGCTAAACTTCCCAAATGAACTCCCTGCGTGTTGTCTACACTTAGTGGTTTGCGCTTTCTCCCTCCCAACTCACACTGAACCGCAAGGATTGGTTGGCTGCCTGCTCTGCTGCACACACACAGCTCTTGCAAATGGCACACCCAATTCTACAGAAAAACGCAGCGGATAGTGCAGAGGAGAAACGCAGGTTCTTTCCTCTCTTCTTTGCTTTTACACAAAGATAATCTTCTCACCAAAACTGTGCTCTCAGTGTGACATCAGAGAGAAACCAGAATGGGACTTCACTGACATCACTCACCACCACAGAAATTCAACTAGCAGCTCTCCACAGGCAAGAATACCATCGTGCATGTCCCAGAATTCAGGACTAAGGCTGAGACACACTCCTGGACCCCAGAGCTAAGAAAAGCTGTTGCAATGGTAAAAAGTGGAGAGAGATGTTGAGCGCACACTCCTCCCCAACCTGGCAGAGCCTCACATGCAGAGATTCCTCTGGATCCGCAGTTGCACGGTGAGAAAGTGAGTTGGAGGCAGAAGTTCTGCTTCCCCACCATTCTGGGCCCCTTTGCAGGAGCTCACGCCTGTCTTGTCCCACAGGAAACGCTTCCCCACGATTCTGGGCCCCTTTGCAGGAGCTCACGCCTGTCTTGTCCCACGGGAAACGCTCCCCCGCCATTCTGGGCCCCATTGCAGGAGCTCACGCCTGTCTTGTCCCACGGGAAACGCTTCCCCGCCATTCTGGGCCCCTTTGCAGGAGCTCACGCCTGTCTTGTCCCACAGGAAACGCTTCCCCGCCATTCTGGGCCCCTTTGCAGGAGCTCACGCCTGTCTTGTCCCATGGGAAACACATCCCCACCATTCTGGGCCACTTTGCAGGAGCTCACACCTGTCTTGTCCCACGGGAAACATTGGGAGTGCCCACAGGGCCAGTTAGAAACAAAAACAGGTGGGGCTCACAGCAAACAGGGCACAGATCGGGCCTGGCCCATGGAGGTGCCACATCAGAGAAACTAGCCAGAGGCACCACGCCACAGGAAGCACCCCCACAGGTGCTCCAGGCTCAGCCCCCAGCGTGCTTCAACGCCCTTCGTAATAGCAAACCCTCGCAAATCCAGCATAGAGGGAGCTGCCTCAGCACAGGAGAGACGCCCATGCCACACCCATAGCTAACGTCATTCTCAATGGTGGAAAGTCGAAAGCGTTTCTCCTAGGATCAGGGAGAAGGATGCCCACTCTCACCACTCCTACTCAACATAGCACTAGAAGTCTTAGCAAGAGAAAGAAACAAAAGGCATTCTAATTGAGGGAAGAAGTGAAATGTCTCTATTTGCGGACAAATTGATCTTTTATATAGAACACCCTAATGGCTCCACAAAAAAACTGTTAGGACATATAAACAAATTAAGGTTTCAGGATATAAAATCAACGTACAAAAATCAATAGCGTTCTATATACTAATAACAAATATTTAAAAAGTAAATTTCAAAAAAAAATCCCATTTACAATAGCAACAAAATAAATAAATACTTAGGTATTAATTTAACCCAGGACGTAAAAGACCTGCATACTGAAAACTATAAAATGCTGATGAAAGAAAATGATGAAAACACAAATAAATAGAAATATTTTCCATGTTTATGGGTAGAAGAAATAATGTTGTGAAAATGTACAAACTACCCAATGTTCTATAGATTCAGTCCAGCCCTTATCAAATATTCAATGTCATTTTTTACAGAAATAGAAAACACAATCCTTAAATTCACATGGAACTACAAAAGACCTTAAATAGCCAAAACAATCATGAAGGAAAAGAACACAGCTGGAGGCATCACACTCCCTCATTTTAAACTCTTTTAGCAGTTGCAATTAGTACACCCTAGAACTGGCATAAAAAACAGACAAATCAATCAATGGAACAGAATGGAACACACAGAAATAATCCCCCACATTTATGGTCAACTGATTTTTGATGAGGGTGCCAAGAACACACAATGGGGAAAGGAGAGTCTCTCCAACAAATGATGTTGGAAAAACTGCATATCCACATGTGAAATAATGAAATTAGACCCTTATCTTATGACATACACAAAAATCCACTTAAAATGGATAAAAGATTTGGCCTGGCATGGTGGCTCATGCCTGTAATCCCAGCACTTTGGAAGGCTGAGACAGGTACATCACCTGAGGTCAGGAGTTTGAGACCAGCCTGGGCAACATGGTGAAACCCCATCTCTACTAAAAATACAAAACTTAGCCAGGCTGGTGGCAGGTGCTTATAATCCGAGCTACTCAGGAGGCTGAGCCACGAGAATCACTTGAACCCAGGAGGCGGAGGTTGCAGTGAGCCAAGATCACACCACTGCACTCCAGCCTGGGTGGCAGAGTGAGACCCTGTCTCTAAATAAATAAATAAAATTTAAAAAATGGATAAAAGACTTAAATATAAAAACTGAAATTCTAAAATGACTAGAAGAAAACATAAGGGAAAGTTCTATAACGTTGGTGTGGACAATAATTTTTTTTGGATAAGACCCTGAAAGCACAGGCAATAAAAGCAAAAACACACAAATAAAATGGCATCAAACTCAAAAGCTTCTGCACAGCAATGGAAACAATCAGCAGAGAGAAGAGACAGCCCACAAAATGGAGTAAAATATTTGCAAATCATACATCAAGTAAGCAGCTAATGTCCAAAATATAAAAGAAACTCAACCCAATAGCAAGAAAACAAATAATTAGATGATGTTAAAATGGGCAAAGGACCCAAAGTCCTCAAAAGAAGATTTACAAGTAGCTAGTTGGTACATGAAAAAATGCTCAGCATCTCTAATTATTAGAGAAATGCAAATAAAAACCACAATGAGTTATCACCTCACCCCTGTTGGAATGGCTATCATCGAAAAGATGAAAAATAAATGTTGGAGAGGATGCAGAGGAAAGGGAACTCTTATGCGTAATGGAAATGTAAATTACTACAGCCATTGTGGAAAATGACATGGAGGTTCCTCAAAAAACTGAATATAGAACCAGTAAATGATGCAGTAATCTCACTTCTGGGTGTGTATCCAAAGGAACTGAAGGTAGGTCCAAGAGACGTCTGCACATCCATAGTTATTGCAGCCCTATTCATAACAGCCAAGATGTGGAATCAACCTAAGTGTCCATCCGTGGATGAATGGATAAATGTGGTATATATACAATGGCATACTATTCAGCCTTTCAAAAGAAGGAAATCCTGTCATTTGTGACAACATGGATGAATCTGGAGGACTTTATGCTGAGAGAAATAAGGTAGGCGCAGAAAGACAAATACCCCATGATCTCACTGGCATGTGAAATCTAATAAGGTTGAACTCATAGAAACAGGAAGTAGAATGATGGTTACCAGAGGCTGACAGGTGCGGGGTGTGGGAAGACAGGGAGTGAGGAGTTGATGATCAAAGAGAACAAAGTTTCAGATAGACAGAGGGTTGGTGATCCATTGCATAGCAAGGTACTGTAGTCAGTAATGATGTGTCATATATTTCAGAATAACTGAGAGCATAAATTTCAATTGTCTCACCATGAAAGAGAACAGGTAAGCAAGGCGATGAATATGTTAGCTTGATCTAATTATTTCATCTTGTATACAATTATCAAAATATCACATTGTACCCCACAAATGTATACAGTTATGATTTGTCAATCAAAACAAATGTTAATAATATTTTTTGTTCTGAGACAGTCTCACTCTGTTGCCCAGGCAGGGATGGGGTGGTGCAATCATGGCTCACTGCAGTCTCAATCTCTCAGGCTCAAGCGATCCTCTTGCCTCAGCCTCCTGAGCAGCTGGAACTACAGCCACATGCAACCACACTGGACTAATTTTTTAAATTTTGTGTAGAGATGGGATTTTGCTATGTTGCTCAGGCTGGTCTTGAACTCCTGGACTCAAGCTATCCTCCATCCTTGGCCTCCCAAATTGCTAAGCTTACAGGCAGGAGCCGCTATATTCAGGCAACTTTTTTAAAAAAACTATGTTCTCTGCTGGTTTCTGTGACCTCGTCACATCATTGTCGTGGTCATTGATTCCTGAAGTGTGAACTCTAAATGCCTTTGTCTGGCTCCTAGGACCCTTGTCTACATGCCCCACCATTGAATCTCATAGGTCCTCCCCTCACACCTTGCTTTTCGGTTGTGCAAACCACTTATCAATTCCCAAAGAGGCTGAGCACACTCTAATCTTTCCTTTTCTGCCCAGATTCCTCCCCGCTAATGCTGATTAACCCTTTTCCACCTTTCGAAATTCAAGACAAATGTCTCCTCCTCTGTGACAGAATTCTGGGCCACCGTCAGTGCCTTCCTCTTGCCTGACAAATATCTTGTCACACTTCAGTTTCTACACTTGCTATACCTGTGTGTTCATATGTCTATTACAACCTCCTCTCCATGCAAATGGAAGGCCCTGGATCTGGGTTCTCTGTACTTTTGTACACCGAGAGCCCAGTACAGTGTCTGGCAATTAGTTGGTACTAAATAACAAAATATGGCAAAACAAATAAATAAAATACATGATTTAAAAGCAGACAATGTAATTGTCATTTGAACAAGTTCTCCAACTTTATTCTATTACCTTTAAATTCTCTCTTTTTCCTTTCTTCCCCATCCTTGCAAATGAAAAGATCCATGTACTATCAACCTTCCTCTCAAGGCTTGGGGTTTTAATGAGTCAATGTAATAAATTTACGTGTTTTGGAGACGAAAGAGCTGAGACAGAGAGGCTAAGTAACTTACCCGAGTAGGAGCTGCGACCTAAAGTCTGTATTTCTGACACTGCACTGATCCTAACCCAGGCAGTGAAGGTCCAGGGAAGTGAAATAAGACACACTGGACCATGACGATACATGGGAGGGAAATCTGTGAAAGACAGAGAAACAGAGCTTAGTGCCCAGGGTGGGATCTTAGGCTATTCTGGGTGATGGTGAGTGGGCAGGCCAGCAGCATTAAAGCAGCAGTAGGAGGCAGGGATGGGACCCTCGTCATAACCCGCCTCTAAGGGAACTCACTGCAGGGTGAGCATGGCCCATCAGTGACCCGTCAGGCAGGTGTAGCAGATATTTTGCATGACTCTGATGCACTGCTTCCATTTTTTAAGGGAGTGGTTGACTCACAGTCGGTATACCGGGGGTGACCCAGGCTCTGGTCTGCCGCAGTAACACTGGTCACATGCTCCCCGGAGCGCAATGGTAGCTGGTTGAGCATCCTCACCAAGTATGGTTACCTGCTTCTCATTCTCACGGACACAGGCTTCTAACAACTTTTCCGATTGCACAAGATCATTTTTGAGGCTTCATTCCCTCCCCCACAGTAAAGAACAGACCCCAAATCCTCAGCTTGGTCTAAAAAAAGTATTCTAAAATATGTACATTGATTTTTTCAACTGAATGTTTTCAACTAAATCATCTCAATGGAAAGTGAAAAGGGAATTTTTGTTTGTTCAATAGTTTGCCCAAAGGATTGTATCATTTCTTTAAAGTAAATTTTAGTCAAAAAGTAGATTTATATAAAATTCTAACAAAATTGCTTTCTTCTGGAATAAACAAGTCCTGTAAAATACTGTGTATTTATATATAAAATAACAGATAATATACACTATATATATATCACACCCTATAATATGTACTATATGTATATAAATATTTTATAAGGAGAATTTTATTCCTATGACGTAATGGTGTTATAATTTTGAAAACCAGAAGTAGGGCCTAACAATGTGTTAAAAATATTTGCACTAACTGTTAATTGATGCGTTAATGTCATTTTCATCTTCCCCCAACAAATATTTAACATTCAATACTTATACATATCCCCTGGTAAATGAACTTTCTTATTTGCCAGCAAAGGTTCTTAGAAAAATAGACTGAAAAGAAATAACTTCTATCTAAAGATGTTTCAAAAGCTTCACACAACTTACAGAATGGATAAAAATGTCGCATAACTTACAAGGGTAAATTAGCATGTGAAGGGTAAATATCATTTTACTTTAATGTCTCTCAAAAATCAAAATCTTACCTTACCATAATTCTTAACCTAAAAAGCAATTAATAAGCAGTGTTTTATAATGTTGCTGTATCTTGGGTGTGCCTGGGGAACTATTTGTGTTCTTCTTAACTGAGCTGTATAAGCAAGTAACAAGCTGCTCTGAGAAATCATTCGGCTTTTGAAACCAAAATGATTATTAGATTAGGTCAGAGAGATCCACAGCCAAATTTATCATGCTCATATGTCTCTTTTTATCTGCCAAATATAATTGCTTGTTATTTGTCTTTTTAAAATATAAAATAAAGTTCAGTGCGCAAATAAAAATTCAATGCAGCTCAATACATGAAAGTTGTTTTTACAGAGATTCAAATCAAAGCCATCCTGTCCAATCCCGCTCTCATTTAGAAAGGTTTCCATTGGAGCAGAAAGGTGGTAATGGCTGACAGCCAATCTGCAGTGGAAAAAATGCAAGCCTGTGACCTAGAAGGCACTGGTGTTCAAAGCCCTAATTACTCAGATGTCAGAAGTACAAGATTACAGGCTTTTATAATGTCAAGATAATTAAGATAGTTTGCAAAATTGCACCTGGTAAATTCTAAATTCAAGTGACCCCAGTGGTCTGCAAAAGAATATAAAGATGTCCTTGGTAGCCTTCTGCCTGTATCTCAGTGGTACTCTCTTCCTGCCTTTATCTCAGTGGCACTCTCTTTCTGTCCCTAATAATGCACACTGTGATCCCAAACCTGTACCTGTGAGTCGAGACGAACAAGATGGTGCACCAGCTCTTGGGCTTCTGAGAAGAAAAGGAAAACAGGAGCCTGTCCCCATCCCACACTGTGCTGGAGACTTTCTTAGACACTGAACCACACTTCCACCCATTGTGTTGAAGACAAGAATACGGGGAGCCAGAGACGCTGAGGAAACGTGCCCAAGCCGGCGGCAAAGCTGAGATTTGCAGCAGCCCCATTAGTCTAGTAGACTCTGACTGACATCAGCTGAGGCCAGATTTAAAGAGATGAGCATTCATGGGAGCATCTGTTATTTTGTCACACCCTCCCTAACTCGGTTTTAAATAAACAACGCAAGTGAAAAGGGGCAATATTATGTGAATAACTATCATATTACATTATTTGTATTGGAAGACGCTTTTCTTTTCCTCATATATTCTTGATGTCACAAGACTTCAGGCCTTTATGCAAAATGTACAACTGCCACTGTTAAAGTACGTGCTGAAATTATAACGACAACCCTCTCACATCGACCCCCACCCATATGGGCTGGCCCACCCTATAAGATGCATTGTCATTAGTTATAAATTGAACACTCATTAGAGCTGACAAAATGTTGAACAGCAAAGTATCAAGCATTCCCTGTCATGATTTGAGGTTAAATTGTCCAAAGTGACTCAGCACAAGGGAGAATAGGTGTATTTCTGGGACACTTTTTGTATTTCAGACTCAAAATTCTCTTGAAAGAAATACAACTCGAACTTAGCTCATCATATCAAAAGCCAGATCACATAATCCTTCTCACTGAATAAAATCAGATGGGTCTGACAATGAGGTTGGAAGCTTTGCCAAGAGCTTTTGCTGTATGTTTCTCGAGGAGTGAGAGAGAGAGAGAAAGAGGATGCAACCTGAAGTTCAGCAGCAGCTATCACCACACAGTCAGCTACTCCTGAATCCCAGCACCTCAAGGATTAGAGGGTCCTGTTCAACACAGTAGCCACTAGGCACCTGTGGGTATTGGCCACGTGAAATGGGCTGGTTCCAACTGAGGTCAGCTGCAAGTGCAAACTATGTCCTGGATTTCACAGATTTAGAGTGGAAAAGAATGCAAACTCTCTTATTACGTGTTTAATTGATGATTTGTTGACGTGAGATTTGGATATATCGAAGTAAGTAAAACGTATTATTAAAATTAATTCCACCTGTTTGCTTTTTACTTTTTTAATGAGGCCACTAAAGACAACTTACCCATATGTTCCAAATAATTGAAAGTAGGATCTTGAAGAGGCATTTTCATGTCCATGTTCACAGCAGCATTGTTCACAAAAGCCAGATTTTCAATAGCTAAATGGATAAGCAAAATAAGGTCTATCTGCATAATGAAACCTCATTCAGCCATAAAAGATAATGAAGTACTAATACATCCTACAACATGCTTGAACCTTAATAACATCGTGGTAGGTGAAAGACGTCAGTCACAAAAGACCACATACTCTATGATTCCGTTCATATGAAAATCCAGAATGGAGGGGTCCACACAGACAGAAAGGAGGTAAATGGTTTCTTAGCCATGGGGGTGAGAAGATGGGGCCATTTGGAAAGAGTTCTAGGTTTCTTTTTGAGGTGATAAAAATGTTCTAAAATTGACTGTGGTGATGTTTGTACCTACTTGTGAATATATTGAAAACCATTGAGTCATACAGTTGAAGTGGGTGAGTTGTATGGAATGTGAATTATATCTCAACAAAGTTGTTTTTTTTTAAAAAAAAAAAAAAGAAAACTCTCAAGAAACTGATGGAAAGTTGGGAGAGGAGAATTTCAGGCAGAGAGAGTGGCACTTGCAAATAGGATCTGCTGTGAAGGAACAGATTTGTTCTCTCCCCTTGGATGGTGCTCCGTGTCTCTGTCCTTAATTAATACCCAGGCCAGGCTTTCACTGGGCCCCATGGCACTGGCATGGGACAAAGCTCTCCAGGCCTGTCTTGCCCAAAACACTGCTCGTACAACCCTTTATTGTGCATGCATGCAGCCTCACTGAAGCTTCTACTGGAAGAAACAGAAAAACTACCACATAACAGGAAGACAGGGTAAAAAAAAAAGTGCTCCTGGTGGAATACATTAAGTTGCTAGTGATAATTAACCTTGTTATTAAAAGCCACAGTAATTATTACACAAAAATAATGTAACCATGCAAAGTAACAAATCAAATGGACATGTTTGTAAAAATGAGGATTGAGGAAGATTTTTTCTTACTGAACTGCATAAAAGATGTTGCATTTGAAGCATCAGAAAGTGTTTCTCCACCAACAGCATCTCCAAAAAGTCAGAAATCTGACGAATACCATTCCCTTAAAGAACGAGACACTTTGCATGATTGCCTTTTACAGCCCTCACTGAGGCTGGAGACTTCCACAACTGAATCAAAAGAGATGGCTCAACTGTGCCAGGGAAAGGGAACTTTTGCCCTCTGATTCACTTAAAAGGCAGAATGACGGACAAGCCGACCTGCTCAGCCTGCAGGTGAGGGAGGGAATCCGAGCCGCTGGCACAGAGAGGAAAACCACACTGTTAGGTGTCCCGTTTACTTCATGTGCTCGCACCAGGGTGAGGACAGCAGGCCTCACCCCAAAACGCAGAAATGCTGGCATACTGTTCCCCTAAAAAGGAGCTGAAGAGGACATGATACAAACAGCACCTGCCACGTAACCCTCAAAAACATGAGGAAAATTACATGACACTTGTCAGTCCTTTTTGTTGATTCAAATATCTGTGGATTGATTACTAAATTTGTTGACTAATCCCTCAGGTAGTAAACAAGTCATGAAAACCTGAAGGCTATTATACAGCCTTTCCCACATTTTCAAATGTGTCCTGACCTCGACCAGGAATATTCTAGGGTCCGAAAGGGTGATTTATGTGATTCTATAAAGTGACATAATGAGACTGGCTATTAGCATATGTTCAAATACGTTCAAAGCCAGAACCTGGACATGCGATGTAGTGTTTAGGGCCTAACGAAGTAGACCCGATTGATCTTTCACACTTTCGAGAAGCAGGCAGGCGGCTCAGGGCAGGTAAGCAGCTCCGCTGCATGAAGTCATCTGGGGCTCTGATACCCTTGACATTGCACTGGCTTTCCTCGGGATGTTCTAATCATCCATGCCGTCGATACTGACTCCCCACCACACCCATGCTTAATCCTATGAGAAGAGAAACCGAGCCCCAAATCCCTCCTTTTAAGGGCCTTTCACTGCTGGGGGACTTAGATACATGGTCCAGCTTTTTCACTGGGGAAGCTGGGATATGCAGTCTCCAGCAGGCAGCCATATGCCCAACCAAAGCTCAGGAGAATGGGGCTTCTGAGTTTAAGACAGACAGAGGGAAGGGGCAGCAGAGGACAGTTAATGTTGCCATGCCTGCCTTAGCAAAGCAGTTGTGTGTTTCTCCTTAGCACAGAAGGCTATGTGCTTTGAAATGATTGGATTTTCAAAGTCATTTGACCATTTACTAACTCCTCTCCATCACTTCCTGTGCATTCTATAATTTCTCACCCTATCCCATTTTCCCAAACTCTTCCTCTGCATCCTGCTCGTATATATCAGCTCCCTAAATCCTCTCTTGCATACTGTAGTTCCTCTTTAAAAATTCTCTTCACCCCTAGCTATCAGCGAGCATGACTTTCCCAGCCTCCTTCTCCACGGGAATGTTTTTCCTCCCATATTGCACATAAGCCATGGCCTGCAGGTGGGGCAAGCACGCCCTTACTCCCACTGCTGTATTCACACGGTATCTCCTCCTTTCTCCTCCAAAAGCCTCCAGCTCCTTTGGAGCACACGCCATCTGACTAGACCACCTGCGTTTCCCTGCCATCTTCAGACCCCCCACGTTCTTTCCTTCATCCACCACGGACTTCAGCGGCTGGCTCCATCTTCATCTCTACCTACCCTTGTTACCATTTTCAGTGACTTCAGCTTGCGCGTAGATAATCCACTGAGCAGTGAGCTCTCAGATCCTTAGCTTTCTCTCCCACGACACTCTTTCCTCCACCATCCCATGAGACCCAGCCCCACGACCACACCTTAGCCCTTGCCATATAACAATAAATGCCCCACCCCATAAGACTGATACTGGCTGGGTGCAGTGGCTCACACTGTAATCCAAGCCCCTAGGGTGGGTGGATTGTCTGAGCTCAGGAGTCAGAGACCAGCCTGGGCAACATGGCAAAACCCCATCTGTACCCGAAATACAAAAAATTACCCAGGCGTGGTGGCAGGTGCCTGTGGTCCCAGCTACTCGGGAGGCTGAGGTAGGAGAATTGCTTGAGCCTGGGAAGCAGAGGTTGCAGTGAGCTGAGATTGTGTCCCTGCACTCCAGCCTGGATGACAGAGTGAGACTCTGTCTCAAAATAATAATAATAATATTAAAAAGACTGATGTTAACATCTCATTCTCCTACTAAGCCTTATCTTTCCAGCTCACTTACTCTGTGCTGCCTACTCCAACCATTTTCAACATTGTAAACCACAAATCCATTGACCTTAAAATGTTTTTATTATCTATCATCCCCTCCTGGTCTTACTTTGAACTTTCCCACTTTGGGGTCCAGGGCCCATCATTATAATCACGTTATTCAATTTGATAAACTATAACCACAAACTTTGTTTCCATTGAATTCACACAGCAAAGCAATAACCTATTCAGACCAACTATTCACCTACTCAGCGCTGTTAATAAAAGATCATGAAATCTGCAGAGGAAAAAGGAAGAGCTTTGTTGTCTATAAAACAGTTAAAAAAAAAAAAAAAAAAAAAAAACAACTCCCGCAGACATTTCTTCAGAAGCACAAATGAAAGTGTGTGCACCGAAGAACAAAGGAAGGGTTTATGGCTCAAATAGGAAAAGTTTTCTCCCAGGTTCTCTGTCACGTCTGTTTATGCAAATGTAGGATTCACGTGTGTTCAGTTCTTATTGGTTGAGATAGCCAAGCCTTGACTGGGTGGCTTCCCATCCCAACATTAAAAGTGTCTTTGTCAGGTGTTTTCTTTTAAAATGGCCAATGGGGTGGAGATGAGGAGTCTAGCCACTGTTTTTCTTGGCTCTGGTCACAGAAAGCACATGAAGTACGATGTTTGTGAAGAGATGGTTCTCCTCTCACTGCCCCTTATGGCCACTTGAATCTGTTATCTAAATTTGGGTGTCTCCATTAGTCACCGAGAGCCGATTTCCTCCGGAGAGCTTGAGGTCCCATTTACAATTCTATTTCACTGCACCATCAGCCAGCAGCTGAAGAAAATCACAAAGCCATAGTGACTGTCCACACTCTAAACTCAAGGTCACAAATCTGAAACACATACTTATCACCGTCCAGAGGTTGTGCTACACTTCCCTTGTAAACAAAACTCCAGTATTCAAGACATCCAAGTATTTCACACTTTCTTTATGCTCCTGAAGCCTCCAATATTTCTTCTTCTTCCTTCTCTATCGAGAAGAGATAGAGGAACTCCATCTCCCCTCCACCAACTCCAACCTTCCAGGAGGATGGAAGCAACGTCAAGGTGTTCCCATTCCTGTCTCAAGGCAACACCTCCCCCAGCACTCGGGACCTCACCAGCTCTCAAGGTGCACAGGCTTTGCTTCAGCTGTTTTCCGCTCTCTCCTCTGCACCATCATAATGTCATCCACACAAGAGAATTCTCACCAACACACTAACCAACTCCAAGATATCCTTCCCTCTGAAACCCTGCCCTGAGCCAGTGTCTTTCTAGCTCTTTTCCTCATTTCCACTCCCTTGAATTTCATTCTCTTCCTTCCATTCTTGTCAGTGTCCTTCCCCACCACTCCCATAAAGCTCCTTTTATCATCGCCACCAGTGGCCTTCATGTTTCCGAATATGGTGATTCATTTTCTTTCTTTCTGCCAAATATGGTGATTCGTTTTCTTTCAGCAGCATCCGGCAGACCTGAGAATGCTTGTTGAGGCATTTCCTTCTATCAGCTTCCCTGCCACCTTCTCCAGTCAATCCCCTTGCTTCTCTGGCTACTCCTCGGTCTTCTCTGAGGGCTTTGGCTTCTCTGCCAGACTTCTAAACCCTGATGTTTGTCCTGGGCCTTCTCCCTTCTCTATCTATCCTCCCTATCTCCACTTAAGCTAAGTTGGGTCACGCTTTCAAATACTATCATCCCTAAGTGTATGACTTCCAAATTTATATTTTCTAGTCCTGACTAGCCATAGATTCCTAATAAGCCTCTGAAACTTAACACATCCAAAACATTCAATCCAAGAAAATAGAACTATCCACCCAGTTGCTTCAGCCAAAAGTCTAGAAGTCCCATTCTTTCCCCCTCACTTCCCACAATCAGCTCACCAGCTGAATCTGCCCTCTTCTCTCTCACACCATTGCACCACCCAGTCCAACTCATGAACCATTTCCTCAAGTACTGTAATGACTTCTTAACTGTTTCTGTTCTTGCCCACTTATAATCCCTTTTCCACAGAGGAAACACAATAATCTATTTTAGGTATAAATAAAAGCATGTCATTCTTTGGTTAAGCCTTCCAGTAGCTTCCCATTCCTCTTGGATAAAATTCAAACTCCTTACTATGTTCCACAGAGCCCTGTATTATCTGGCTCTTGTTTATCTTTCTATTTTTATCTCCTGCCACACTCTGCCTGGCTTACCGCATCTGCGTCACATTGACCTTCTGTGAGTATTTCAAATGCTCTTTATTCCTCACCACACTCCAAGCTCTTCTCTTTGCCTGTTCCTCACCACACTCCAAGCTTCTCTCCAAGCCTGTTCCTCACCACACTCCAAGCTTCTCTCCTTGCCTGTTCCTCACCACACTCCAAGCTCCTCTCCTTGCCTGTTCCTCACCACACTCCAAGCTTCTCTCCTTGCCTGTTCCTCGCCACACTCCAAGCTCCTCTCCTTGCCTGTTCCTCACCACACTCCAAGCTTCTCTCCTTGCCTGTTCCTCACCACACTCCAAGCTTCTCTCCTGCCTGTTCCTCACCACACTCCAAGCTTCTCTCCTGCCTGTTCCTCACCACACTCCAAGCTTCTCTCCTGCCTGTTCCTCACCACACTCCAAGCTTCTCTCCTGCCTGTTCCTCACCACACTCCAAGCTTCTCTCCTGCCTGTTCCTCACCACACTCCAAGCTCCTCTCCAAGCCTGTTCCTCACCACACTCCAAGCTTCTCTCCTCCCTGTTCCTCACCACACTCCAAGTTTCTCTCCTGCCTGTTCCTCACCACACTCCAAGCTTCTCTCCTGCCTGTTCCTCACCACACTCCAAGCTTCTCTCCAAGCCTGTTCCTCACCACACTCCAAGCTCCTCTCCTTGCCTGTTCCTCACCACACTCCAAGCTCCTCTCCTTGCCTGTTCCTCACCACACTCCAAGCTTCTCTCCAAGCCTGTTCCTCACCACACTCCAAGCTTCTCTCCTGCCTGTTCCTCACCACACTCCAAGCTCCTCTCCTTGCCTGTTCCTCACCACACTCCAAGCTCCTCTCCTTGCCTGTTCCTCACCACACTCCAAGCTTCCCTCCTTGCCTGTTCCTCACCACACTCCAAGCTTCCCTCCTTGCCTGTTCCTCACCACACTCCAAGCTTCTCTCCAAGCCTGTTCCTCACCACACTCCAAGCTTCTCTCCAAGCCTGTTCCTCACCACACTCCAAGCTTCTCTCCAAGCCTGTTCCTCACCACACTCCAAGCTTCTCTCCAAGCCTGTTCCTCACCACACTCCAAGCTTCTCTCCAAGCCTGTTCCTCACCACACTCCAAGCTTCTCTCCAAGCCTGTTCCTCACCACACTCCAAGCTCCTCTCCTTGCCTGTTCCTCACCACACTCCAAGCTTCTCTCCTGCCTGTTCCTCACCACACTCCAAGCTCCTCTCCAAGCCTGTTCCTCACCACACTCCAAGCTCCTCTCCTTGCCTGTTCCTCCATCTGAAATGCTGTTCCCCTAGACCTTTATATCTGTCTCCTCCATGTTTAACAATTTTATGGATTTTTATTTGGAATTCACATTAATATTGATGACATTAAAGTACATATAAATTCATATCCATATTGTATTTAGATCAATGATGGGTTTATATAAATGTAAATTTTAGTTCCAACAATTTGGGTCATCCGTGAATACAAGTATGTTTAATATAAAATGTATTTTAATATAAAAAAGCTATTGATAATGTCATATAGATTGGAAATTTTAAACTCTATTGATGAACATTGAGTCTCTTTTCACTTAAATGTTATATTGCATAAATCAAACACTTTGTCAAAACAAAGCAATAAATGAACAGACAGGTAGGTGATAATTTCTGGCAATGACAAAGCTATGTAAAAATCTAACAGTGTAAAGTGATGTGGCAGGTATGCGAAGGCGTCTAATTTAAGTAAAATCAGCAAGGAGGATCTCAGAAGAGATGGCGCTGGAGTCATGTTCTCAAGTAGAGATGAGCATGTTTTGAAATGATATGGTCAGAGCCTCACGTGATTTGAATACTATTTCTTACATATCTACTGGTGAGTTTCAGAGGCAAACAAGAACTTGAATGAGAGTACATTAGAAAACTAATTATATTTCAAGAATATTTTACAAATGGTTTGAGGTAGGCTTAGTGATATGGTTTGGCTGTGTTCCCACCCAATTCTCACCTTGAATTGTAATAATCCCTGCACATTAGCCACCTGGCGGGGCCAGGTGGAGATAATTGAATCATGGAGGCCGTTTCCTCCCATACTGTTCCCGTGGTAGTGAATAAGTCTCATGAGATCTGTTGGTTTTATAGAGGGGAATTTCCCTGCACAAGCTCTCTGTTGCCTGCTGCCATGTAAGATGTGTCCTTCTTCCTCTTCACTTTCTGCCATGATTGTGAGGCCTCCCCAGCCATGTGGAACTGTGAGCCAATTAAACCTCCTTCCTTTGTAAATTACCCAGTCCCAGGTATGTCTTTATTAGCAGCACGAGAACAGACTAATACACTTAGCTTACGTACAAATTATAATAATTATAATAACTTGTACCTAAGCTAAGCCTGCCTCAAACCATTCTTGAAATATGATTGTCCACTTTCCAATTCAAAAAGTACCAAATTTCTTAGATTAATACATTTTTAAAATGCCTAAATAAGGAAGGGTTTTCAAACAGAAGGCTTCCCATTTAGGTTTCTGCTGCTTCTTGTCCTATAGTATTTAAACACCACCATCCAGGACATCCAAGAAACGGTGGTTCCTTCTTAAGACAAAGGACCATTCATCTTTATCTTTCTATAGTATTGCACACCTCTGGCATATAATAAGCATTCAAAAACCATTTGATCAACCAATCAATCAATCTTTTATCCTCCAATGTCAAGCTAAGTCAGTTTCTAACATGTAGAAAACACTAAATCAATGTGTTTGTTGAGTTAGCATGTTATGAATACATCATTCATCTAAATCCCTGAGTTTTGGAGGCAGGAAAATCAGAAGGATGCTGGCATTGGAGATGGGCAAGTCTGGAGTCAAGGGAGCCCCAGCCCCACTCTGCAGTATCTATTTGGACTTAAACAAGTCCAGTAACCTTTCTGCATTTCAGACACTTCATCTGTTACAAAAGGATTATAGCTTTCAAGGTGCCGCGAGGGGTTGAAAGACAATGTGTGGAGCTCCCAACAAAGTGTGTGGCCCAGGGTAAGCCCAAGAATCATAAAAGTCGATGTGATGATGGTGTTATTATTAAGTGCCTTGTACATGTTTATGCCTTGGGTGCCCACGAATACAATTAGTAATGACTATTTTCATCATTGTGGGCACCAAGAGGCTTTCTGAGGTTTTTTTCCAAGCAGAACAGAACCAAGAACTAATTATTATACTCCAAACCCTTATTCTTAGTCTCAAGACTAAGCAGCACATGCCATGAGAGTTAGAGTCCTCCCTCCAGCTAGGAGCCTCTGCTAGGAAGCAGGCCAGTGAGCTATCCATAAAAGCACAACCTCTGCTAGAGAACAGTAAGCTGCAGACAGGTTTTATATGTGGCTATTCTTCTCAGACCAGAAGAGACATTCTGTTGGCATTTTCATCTAACAGTATAAAGTTACAATACAAATATAAGGGTAGTTGTTATTGGATAACACTTTAACAGCATTTTCTTTTTAAATCTCTGTATAGAGAGGATTTCTATTAACATATAACAGGCCAAAAACCTGAGCATCATCCTGAGCATCATTCTTTCTCTCACGCCCTGCCTCCAATCCCTCAGAAAATGTGATTGTCCTACTTTCAAGATCTACCCAAATCTGGCTTTTCTCACCACCTCCAATGCTACAACCTGGTTGGAGTCACCATCATCTTTCACTGGGAGGTTGCACAAGCCTCTCACAGACTCCACTGTTTCTACCCCTGACCCCTGCAGTCTACTCTGAGCACAGCAGTCAGAAGCATTCTTTTGAGACTTCCTTTTAGACACACTTCTGCCCAGCACCCTGCAATCGCTTTCCACTTCTGAGCTGGTGGGCTCTGAGGCCATCCGTGGTCTGGACCCAATACCAGTCCAACCTCCCCTCTGAAAGCTCCACCCTCCCTCACTGCTGCAGCCATGCCAGACTCCATGCTCATCCATGGATGCAAGAGGCAAGCACCTGTCTCATGATCCTTGCTCTATCTGCTCTCCATTTGGAAGTCTCTTCTCTCAGATAGCCATGATCTATTTCTTTATCTTTTTCAAATTTTGGCTCAAGCTTCTTCTTTTCAGGGGGTCTACCCACTGCTCTGATCACCCCGCTTAACCCTGAAACCTCCCTCACCCAGACACACACAGCACAGCACTCTGCACTCTCATCACTCTGTCCTACTGTTCTCCATAATTCTGTTCACTTTTACCACTCTGTACTGCCCACTTTATTGTGTTTATTGTTGACTACCTGCCCCTCCCTGTGAAAAACAAGCACCTTGAGGATGGAGATCTTTGTCTCTTTTGTTCACTGATTTGCTGAAGCACAGAAAACTTATGAGCAGTGCTTGGCTCATAGCAGGTACTCAGGAAATACTGAATCAGTGAATATAAACTAAGAAGACAATGATGCCTTACCATGAGTGGAAAGATGCCCATCATGTGGGAAGCAAGCAAATCTTTATGTGTGCAAAATCAGGGCTTTGCCACCTGTTTAGAGCAACCATTTCTTCCTCTGCTTAGAGGCATCAACAGGATATGAGCAGGTGTTTAGTAGAGAATATAATCAGTTTAGTTTTTCAGAGCAGATGATACAAAAATATTCTTCTCACACAGATTATGAGATATTGAGCCTAACGGTTTTGAAATTTAGGAAAAGTTAATATGAATGAGAGAAAAATAACCAAAAAGAAATAGCAATTATTCCTTACTAATGTTATTTTTCTGTCTGCAAAGTAAACATAGTAAAAGAAATTTTTCACTTTAAGTTATGAAAGTTGACACTATTATCTATAATTTTTACATGTGCCTCTATTATATGTCCTCTAGCCTTTCACTAAACTAGACCCATTGTAATCTGCTATTATTTGTACTTATTTTACCTATAATTTGGAAATAAGGTGATTAGCATATTTTTCCTTAAATTTTATTCCTGGTCTCAAAGACTTTTTCGACATAGTCATTAACTCTAAGACTAAACAAAAGTGAATAGCTAAAGAAAAGGTTATACTGGGCTGGAAAGCTACAGGTTGAAGGCCAGTTTGGCCCACATTTTTTTTTTTTTTATAAAGATGATTGAAACAGCCATGCCCATTCACCTGCCTCTTGTCCATGGCTGCTTTCTAACTGGCAGAGTTGAGTATTTGTGACAGAGACCATATGGCCACAGAGCCAAAAATATTTACTCTCTGTCCCTTTACAGAAAACGTTTGCTGACCTTTATGAGGCAGTCGATCTTCCTCCTACTGGCTTTTCACATGTTGCTGTGTGTCTGTGTGAGGTCATTTATTGAGCACCAAATGTGCCAAATATGCATCATGACTATGCGTCTAGCACAAGACGGTGACGATCGCAAACATGTCATGATAGTTGCCGAAGGTGCTGTGGACAAACATCACTCCCTTCCCTCCACGTTAGAGACAAGATGGGAAAGAGAAGTGGGGAGAAATTGTTCATATCCACAAAAAGACGTCCTTCACTAAAGAGCACTGGCTCAGCCCTTGAATGCTGAGAAACTAAAAACAGAGAAAGGTTAAGGACACAGGAAACAGGGATGACGAATAGCTCCTTACATTTTCTAATAACTCAGGGTATTGCAGGTGGCCAGAGCCAACCCAAATCATCACATCCAAACATGGGACAAGGCAAAACCTGAAACTGTTAAGAGACATGCAGCGTCAGTTTGATTCCCGCTGCGGACGAGGGGCAGCCTGCACATGCTGAGGATGGACCCCGACCCTCCTGTTGCTAGCAGGCTGAGGGCAATGCCATCTCTATGCTACCTTGTGTCAGGTCACCACAGTGTCCCCAGCATCTGAATGCTGAGTGCAACCAAGGCTTTAGTTCAGCAACGTGAAACACCAGCTGCACTCCACACCCCGGCACCCCCACGCTGCATCCCACACCCCGGCACCCCCACGCTGCACTCCACACCCCGGCACTCACACGCCGCACTCCACACCCCGGCACCCCCACGCTGCACTCCACACCCCGCCTCTCACACGCTGCATCCCACACCCCGGCACCCCCACGCTGCACTCCACACCCCGGCACTCCCACGCTGCATCCCACCCTAGGAAAGCACAAGGAAATCATGTGAGCACCACAGGGGCCAATTTGTGCTGCATCTTCTCCAGCATTCCAGTCAACAGACACTGAGCAGTAGACAGGAAAGAATTCCTCAAGCTGAGTTCAACAGGAATCCCTTCCTTGAGAATATGTACCAGACCACAGGATTATTTTAGAAAGCATTAATCCTAGGAACATGTACTTGGGGTGATTCCTAACAGACTAGGAGTTATAAATAGAGCACAGACATATTTGGTCTATAAATAAAATTCTTTTAACTGATGTTTTATTGTGGTAAGATATACATGACTAAAATGTGCCATTTTAATGATTTTCAAATGTACAACTCAGTGGCATTAAATTCATTCCCATTGTTGTGCAGCCATCACCAATATCCACTCCAGCACTTTTCATCATCCCACACTGAAACGCTGTACCTTTCAGGTAGGAGAGAAAAAACACCAGAGAGGAGACAGGACTAACGTGCAGCTCCCATTTAGACAAACAGATCAGCGTCTGGAGATTCACATTGTGAACTTCTGTTCCAAGAACCAGTGTAGGGACATACTAGGGAGACTGAAAGAATTCACAGACCCTTTGAAAGAAGTGGCTTGCCACTGCAAATGCTGCAAGACAGCTGAAAAACTGTGAGTTCCCAAAGTGTGAGAGGCGAAAAAGTCTGCCTCTGAACACACATCCCCACTGGGGAACCTGAAAATTCAGATCACAGGAGAAGGCTTTAATCTTACCTAGAGCTGAAATGGATTTAGGAAGCCGAGCAAAATATAAAAGTAGAAGAAGCAGTGGGAAGAGCCCTGTAGGCACTCCCAGTCCCCAGCGAAGCCCAGGGAAGCCATTCCTGGCCTTATGTCACAGTCCTTGGGGAAGGGAGGGGAGCCAGTGAAATTGCAGAGGGGCCACAGGGTGACAGAAGCTCCTAGCTGAACTTTGTAATAATTTTGACTGAGCACAAACTTTCCTGAGTAGAATGGAGATGGTGGGTTGTGGGAGTGGGTGGCAAATGGGAAGCACAATAGAGCACAGAAGCTTGCAGCCAAAGGTGTGAGCAGGCAGAGAGGTGAAGCCTGAGAGCCCTGCTTGCTTTCTCAGTGGAATGGCTTGTAGCCTGGGGCAAGATCTCAGCCCTGCTCACTGGCTGCCAGGATATAAACTCAGTGCAGTTTGGGTGGCATACAGGAGACTGGCCCCACTGGCTGCATGAGAGCTGGGTGAGGCCTGTCACTGGCAGCTTTCCCCCACCTTCCCTGGCAACCAGAATGATGCAGCAAAGGCTCCATTGGCCTGAGAACCACCCCATAATCCCCCATAGTGGCTGAAGCAAGCCCTGCCCAAGGAGAGTCTGAGCTTAGACATGCCTAGCCCTGTCTTCAGCTGATGGTTTTTCTCTACCTGCCCTGGTAGCTGAAGACAAAAGACATAAACTCTTGGGAGCTCTATGTCCCTGCCCATCACCTGAGAAACCCGAGTACTTATCCTGGCCAACATAGGGCAAGATGGTAGCCCCCTTCTACAACTGTAGCTTGTGCTCTCTTGAGAGTGCCACCTCCTGGCTGGAGGCCAACCAACTGAAGCCATTACAGCAACTCATAAGAGAACAACCCTGCTCCATAGAAGGAGAAAACAACAGCTAATTCCACGGTCTGCAACATCCTGGCTAACCAGAGGTCCTGAGTCTGTCCATGTGAAAATTTCACTGCTAGCATAACCAGCATTTGAGAAAACCATCACATTACAACAACCAAAAAATCCCAGAGTTCACTTCACTCCCCTGCCACCTCCACCAGAGCAGGGGCTGTTATCCAGAATTGGGAGACCTGAAGACAAATCACAGCACAGGACTTTTTGCAGACATTCTGCAGCACCGGCCTGGAGCCCAGTAGCCCCACTGGGTGTCTAGACCCAGAAGGGCATTAGCAATCACTGCAATCTGGCTCTCAAGAAGCCCTATCCCTAGAGGAAGGGGGAGGGCACACATCAAGAGAGCACCACCACGTGGGACAAGAGAATCTGAATAGCAGCCCTTGAGTTCCAGATCTTTCCACTGAAACAGTCTACCCAAATGAAAAGAAACCAAAAAAGTAATTCTGGTAATATGACAAAACAAGTTGTATAGTACCGCCAAAAGATCACACTAGCTCTCCAGCTGTGGATCCAAACCAAGAAGAAATCTCTGAATTGCCAAAAAAAAAAAAAAAAAAAAAAAAAAAAAAAAAAAAAATTGGGAGGTTGGTTATTAAGCTATTCAAGGAGGCACCAGAATAAGGTGAAAACCAACTTCAAGAAATGTTGAAAACAATACAGTATATGGATGAAAAAGTCTCCAGAGAAACAGGTATCATAAAGCAAAGACAATCACAATTTCTGGAAATGAAAGACACACTTAGAAAAATATAAAATACACTGAAAAGTTTCAACAATAGAATAAAACAAGTAGAATAAAGAACTTCAGAGCTCAATGACAAGGCTTTCAAATTAACTGAAAAAAAGAGACAAAGAAAAAAGAATTTTAAAAAATTAACAGACTCCAAGAAATTTGGGGTTTTGTTAAATAACCAAGCATAAGAATAATTGGCATTCCTGAGGAAGAAAAGAAATCTAAATGTTTGGAAAACTTATTTGAGGGAATACTCAGGGAAAACTTCCCTGGCCTTGCTAGAGATCTAGACATCCAAATACAAGAAGCTCAAAGAACACCTGGGAAATTCATCACAAAAAGATCATCACCTATGCACATAGTCATCAGGTTATCTAAAGTTAAGATGAAAGAAATAATCTTAAGAGCTGTGAGGCAAAAGCAGCAGGTAACCTATAAAGAAAAAGCTATCAGATTGACAACAGATTCCTCAGCAGAAACCCTACAGGACAGAAGGGATGGGGTCCTATATTTAGCCTCCTTAAACAAAACAATAACAGTCAAGAATTTTATATCTAGTGAAACTAAGCTTCATAAATGAAGGAGAGATAAAGTATTTTTCAAACAAACAAATGTTGAGAGAATTTGTTACTACCAAGCCAGCACTACAAAAAATGCTAAAAGGAGTCTTAAATCTTGAAATGAAACCTAAAATACACCAAAATAGAACCTCTTTAAAGCATAAATCTCACAGGATCTATAAAACAATAACACAATTAAAAAAACAACATATTGAGACTACAACTAGCATGATGAATAGAACAGTACCTCACATCTCAATATTAATGTTGAACATAAATGGATTAAATGCTTCACTTAAGAGATACAGGGCTGGGAACGGTGGCTTACACCTGTAATCCCAGCACTTTGGAAGGCAGAGGTGGGCAGATCATGAGGTCAAGAGATCTAGACCATCCTGGCCAACATTGTGAAACCCCGTCTCTACTAAAAACACAAAAATTAGCTAAGCGAGGTGGTACAAGCCATTAGTCCCAGCTACTCGGGACACTGAGGCAGGAGAATCACTTGAACTCGGGAGGTGGAGGTTGCAGTGAGCCAAGATCAGACCACTGCACTCCAGCCTGGTGACCGAGCGAGACTCCATCTCAAAAAAAAAAAAAAAGATACAGAATGACAGAATGAATAAAAATCCACCAATCAAGTATCTGCTGTCTTTAAGAGGTGCATCTAACACATAAGGCCTCACCTGAACCTAAGGTAACCAAGTGGAAAAAGATATTCCACACAAATGGATACCAAAAGTGAGTAGAAGTATCCATTCTTGTATCAGACAGAAAAGACTTTAAATCAGCAACAGTTAAATAGTGATCAAAAACTAGTCCAACAGGAGAAAAATCACAGTCCTAAATACATATGCACCTAACACTGGAGCTCCAAAATTTATAGAACAATTATCATGAGACCTAAGAAATTAGATAGACAGCAACACTATAATAGTGGGCACTTCAGTACTCCACTGACCACTAGAAAGGCCATAAATACAGGTCAACAAAGAAACAATGGAAAACTACACCCTAGAACAAATGGACTTAACAGATGTTTATAGAACATTCTATCCGACAACTGCTGAATATACGTTCTTCTCCTCAGCACATGGAACATTCTCCAAAATAGACTATATGATAGGCCACTAAATGTGTCTCGGCCGGGTGTGGTGGCTCACACCTGTAATCCCAGCACTTTGGGAGGCCAAGGCAGACATATCACCTGAGGTCAAGAGTTTGAGACCAGCCTGGCCAACATGGCAAAACCCTGTCTCTACTAAAAATACAAAAACAATTAGCTGGGCATAGTGGCATGCACCTGTAGTCCCAGCTACTAGGGAAGGTGAGGCAGAAGAATCACTTGAACCTGGGAGGAGGAAGTTTCAGTGAGCTGAGATCATGCCACTGCACTCCAGCCTGGGCAACAAGAGTGAGACTCCATCTAAAAAAAAAAAAAAAAAAACCATGTCTCAATTAATTTAAGAAAATTGAAATTATGTAAAATACTCTCTCTCAGACCACAGTGGAATAAAATTACAAATTAACTGTCAAAGGAGCCATCAAAACTATACAAATACATGGAAACTAAATAATCTGTTCCAGAATGATCCTTGGGTTAAATAAAATAAAGATGGAAATTAAAAAATATATTTGAACTGAACAAAAATAGTGACACAGCCAATCAAAATCTCTGGGACACAGCAAAAGCGGTGCTAAGAGGAGAGTTCATAGCATTGAATGCCTACATCAAAGAGTCTGAAAGAGCACAAATAAACAACCCAAGGTCACACCTCAAGGAACTAGAGAAGCAAGAACAGACCAAACCCAAATCCAGCAGAAAAAAAGAAATAACCAGGATCACAGTAGAACTAAATAAAATTGAAACAAGCAAACAAAAACAATACAAAAGATAAATGAAGCAAAAAGCTGGTTCTTTTTGCATAAACAAAAGTGAGATACTATTAGCAAGATTAATCAAGAGAAAAAGAGAGGAGATCCAAGTAAACTCAATTAGAAATGAAATGGGAGATGTTAAACTAATACCACAGAAATACAAAAGATCATTCAAGGCTACTATGAACACCTTTATGTCCACAAACTAGAAAACCTAAAAGATTTGGATAAATTATTGGAAATATATAATCCTCCTAGATTAAACCAGAAAAAAATAGAAACTCTGAACAGACCAATAACAAGTAGCAAGATTAAAACAGCAATAAAAAAACTGCCAGCAACAACAAGTCCAGGAGCAGCTGGATTCTATCAGACATTCAAAGAAGAATTGGTACCAATCCTACTGAAACTATTCCAAAAGATAGAGAAAGAGGGAATCCTCCCTAAATCATTCTATGAAGCCAGAATTACCCTAATACCAAAACCAGGAAAAGATATAACAAAAAAAAGAAAACTACAAACCAATATCCCTGATGAACATAGATGTGAAAATCCTCCACAAAATACTATCTAACTCAATTCAACAGCATATCAAAAAGATAATCCACCATGATCAAGTGTGTTTGATAACAGGGATACAGGGATGGTTTAACATATGCAAGTCAATAAATGTGATACAGCACATAAACAGAAGTAAAATCAAAAGTCATATGATCACCTCAATAGATGCAGAAAAAGCATTTGATGAAATCCAGCATCCCTTTATGATTAAAACCCTCAGCAAAACAGCATAGAGGGACATACCTTAAGGTAATAAAAGCCATTTATGACAAATCCACAGCCAACATCATACTGAATGGGAAAAGCTCAAAGAATTTTCTCTAATCAGTGGAACAAAACAAGGATGCCCACTTTCACCACTTGTATTCAACATAGTACTGAAAGTCTTAGCCAGAGCAATTAGACAAGAGAGGTAAATAAAAGGCATCCAAATCAGTAATGAGAAAGTCAAACTGTTGCTAATGCCACTGACATGACGGTATACTTAGAAAACCCTAAAGACTCATCCCAAAAGCTCATAGATCTAATAAACGAATTCAGTAAAGTTTCAGGTACAAAATTAATGTACACAAATCAGTAGCACTGCTATACACCAACAATGACCAAGCTTAGAATCAAATAAAGAATTCAATGTCTTTTACAACAGCTACAAAGAAGTAAAATACTTAAGAATATACCCAACCAAAAATGTGAAAAATCTCTACAAGGAAAACTACAAAACACTGCTGAAAGAAATCACAGACAACACAAACAAATGGAAACACATCCTATGCTCATGGATGGGTAGAATCAATATTGTGAAAAGGATAATTCTGCTGAAAGCAATTTATAAATTCAATGCAATTCCCATCAAAATACCATCATCATTTTTCACAGAACTAGAAAAAACAATCCTAAAATTCATATGGAACCAAAAAAGAGCCCATATGGCCAAAGCAAGATTAAATAAGCAAAAAGAACGAATCTGGAGGCATCACATTCTCTCACTTCAAGCTATACTACAAGGCTATAGCTACCAAAACAGCATAGAACTGATGAAAAAATAAGCACATAGACCAATAAAACAGAATAGAGAACTCAGAAATAAAGCCAAATACTTATGATCAACTGATCTTCCACAAAGCAAACAAAACATAAAATGGAGAAAGGATCCCCTATTAACACATGCTGCTGGGATAATTGGCAAGCCACATGTACAGGAATGAAACTAAATCCTCATCTCTCACCTTATACAAAATCAACTCAAAATGGATCAAAGACTTAAATCTAAGACCTGAAACCATAAAAATTCTAGAAGATAACACTGGAAAAACTCTTCTAGACATTGGCCTAGGCAAAAAGTTAATGATCAAGAACTCAAAAGCAAATGCAATAAAAACAAAGATAAACCGATGAGACTTAATTAAAGTAAAAACATTCTGCAAATCAAAAGAAATAATCATCATAGTAAACAGTCAATGCACAGAGTGGGAGAAAAGATTCGCAAACTACAAACTATGTATCCAATAGAGGACTAATATTCATAATCTACAAGAAACTCAAACAAATCAACAAGATAAAAACAAACACATCAAAAAGTGAGCTAAGGCCATGAACAGACAATTCTCAAAAGAAGATATACTAATGGCCATCAAACATATAAAGAAATGCACAACATCACTAATTATCATGGAAATGCAAATCAAAACCACAATGCAATACCACCTTTCTCCTGCAAAAATGGCCATAATTTTAAAAATCAAAAAATTATAGACGTTGGTATGGATGTTGTGAAAAGGGAACACTTTTACACTGCTTGTAGAAACGTAAACTAGTATAACTACTATGAAAAACAGTATGGAAATTCCTTAAAGAACTAAAAGTAGAACTTCCGTTTGATCCAGCAATCCCACTTGTGAGTATCTACCCAGACGAAAAGAAGTCATTCTATGAAAAAGACACTTGCACACACATTTATAGCAGCACAGTTTAACAGTTGCAAAAATAAGGAACCAGCCCAAATGCCCATCAATCAATAGTGGATAAAGAAAATGTGGTGTATATATATACCATGGAATATTACTCAGCCATAAAAATGAATGAAATAATGGTATTTGCAGCAACCTTGATGGAGTTGGAGATCACTATTCTAACTGATGTAAATCAGGAATGGAAAACCAAACATCGTATGTTCTGACTTATAAGTGGAAGCTATGCTATGGGGACGCAAAGGCGTAAGAATGACATAATGGACTCTGGGACTTGAGGAGAAGTGGGTGATAAGGGACAAAAGGCTATACATTGGGTACAGTGTACACTGCTTGGGTGATGGGTGCACCAAAATCTCATAATCACCACTCAAGAACTTATCCATGTAACGAAACACCACCTGCTTTCTCAAAACTATTGAAATAATAATAATTAAAAAAAAAAACCTCTGTACCTTTCAAACAATAACTCTCCATTCTGCCTTCCCCCAGCCCCTGGCAACCATCATTCTGCTTTCTGTCCCCATGAATCTTACTAAGTATATTGTATGAGGGGAATCACAGAATATTTGTCATTTTGTGACTGACTTATTTCACTTAGCATAACATCTTCAAGGTTTATCCATGTTGTAGTATGTCTCAGAATTTCATTGCCTCTTAATGCTGATTAATATTTCATTGTATGTATGTAGCACATTTTGCTTATCTATTCTTCCACTGATGGATCTTTGGGTTGCTTCCACGTTTTAGCTGTTGCAAGTAATGCTGCTATGGACATGGGTATACACACATTTGTTTAGGTCCCTACTTTCAATTCTTTTGGATATATCCCCAGAAGTGAAAATGCTGAATGACAAGATATATCTATTTTCAATTTCTTGAAGAACCTCCAAACTGTTTTCCATTGCTACTGTACCATTTTACATTCCCACCAGCAGTGTCAAGGGTTCAAATATCTGTTTTTGTTTTTGTTTTCTAGTAGTAGCCAAACTAATGGCTAGAAAGTGGTACATTGTTGCAGTTTTGATATGCATCCCTATTAATTAGTGATATTGGGCACAGGCACATTTTTAAAAACATACAATCAATAAAATTGTTAGGTCATGGGGATTGAAAGTGGTCAGTTTTTCTGGGTAATATTTATTGCTCTTCAAAGTGATTTGCATTTACAAGAATTGTTAACACATAACAAGCATCCTAGATTTGTTTTAAGAAACAAGGGACTTTACAATTTTTCACTTTTAGTTAACTTTGAAATACTAAGATTTATAGAAAAGTTGTAAGGATAGTATAAAGTGTTCCAGGAAGCCTTCCACCCAGTCTCCCCTAATTGTAGCGTGTTATATAACCATGACACATTTATCAAAACTAAGAAATCAACATTGCTACACTATTGACTAAACTATGGACTTTATTTGTCTTTTTGCCAGTTTTTCCAATAATACCCTTTTCCTATTCAAGGATCCAATCCAGAATACCACGTTGCATTCATCTGTTATGTCTTCTTAGTCTCTGCCAATCCGTGACAGCGTCGCTGTCTTCCCTTGTTACTCATGAACTTGACACTTTTGAAGAGTATTAGTCAGGTATTTTGTAGAATGCTCCTCAGTTGCTGATGTTTTCTCATGATTGGACTGGCATTCTGGATTTGGGGGTAAGGTAACACAGTGGTGACGTCCTTCTCGTTGCATCATTTCCGGGGATGCTTGACATCAACACTACTTATCATTGGTGATGCTCACCTCCATCACTTGGATAAGGCCAAATCTTTCAGATTTTTTCGCTGTAGGGTCACTATTTTTACTTTTCCAAAACTCTATTTATTACAAGCAAGGCACTAAATCCAGCTTACTTTCATAAGGAGGGAAATTAAACTCCACCTGCTGGAGGAAAAAGTATGAAAGAATTTGTGGATATATGTTAAATTCAGTACAGTAATTAATAAATCTTTGGGCACAGATATTTGAGGTTATGCAAATATCCTGTTTCTTCCTTATGTTTCAGACACTAATTTCAGCAGTCTTCCATGAATCTTCCCTATGGCGACTATTACTGTGGTATTCTAGTGGTGTATTAGTCCATTCTTACACTGCTAATAAAGACATATGGGAGACTGGGTAATTTATAAAGAAAAAGATGTTTAATGGACTCACAGTTCCACAGGACTGGGGAGGCCTCACAATCATGGCGGAAGGCAAAGATAGAGCAAAGGCACATCTTGTATGGTGGTAAGCAAGAGAGCATGTGGAGGGGAACTGCCCTTTATAAACCATCAGATCTCATGAGATTTATTCACTATCACCAGAACAGCATGGGAAAAAATCAGAGCCATTATTCAATTACCTCCCACTGGGTACCTCCCAGGTCAGGTGGGGATTATGGGAGCTACAATTCAAGACAAGATTTGAGTGGGGACACAGCCAAACCACATCAAGTGGTGTCTTCCATTTCCCTCATTTCTTTTATGTTTACTATTTGGAAATCTTCCACAAGGAAGATTTTTTTCACTTCTCCTTCAATTATTTATGTATGTAACCATTTATTTTTATCAGTATAAACTCACTGATATTTACTTTTTTCTTTGGGTTATAACTCAGTAGTATTTTTATTAATTTTGTTGTTCAAAGTTTTCCAGCTTTGGCCACTGGGAGCTCTTTCAGGTTGGCTGCATGTTGCTTTGTCAGGCCTGTTCCCTGACCCCTTACTTTCTGGCAACACAAGGTCCTCCAGGTTCATCATGCATTTTCCCTTCCCTAGCCCTTGAGTCAGGCAGTTCTCCAGGGAGTCCTAGTTCAACAGGGACAACTTTTCAAATCAACTTCCATGTGTTGCTATGTATAATTTTCAGATTATTTCTTTTCTTTTTTTTTTTTTGAGATGGAGTCTCGCTCTTTCGCCCAGGCCAGAGTGCAGTGGCACGATCTCCGCTCACTGCAAGCTCTGCCTACTAGGTTCATGCCATTCTCCTGTCTCAGCCTCCTGAGTAGCTGGGACTACAGGCACCCGCCACCACGCCTGGCTAATTTTTTTTTTTTTTTTTTTTTGTATTTTTAGTAGAGACGGGGTTTCACTGTGTTAGCCAGGATGGTCTCCATCTCCTGACCTTGTGATCCGCCCGTCTTGGCCTCCCAAAGTGCTGGGATTACAGGCATGAGCCACCACGCCCGGCCAATTTTCAGATTATCTCTATGCTATAATTAATGCTATAATTAACTATAGATTTTCCATAATTAAGTCATATGTATTACAGCACTCAGACTAACAGGCTGCAGTAAGAAGGAACATGAACCTATCACCAATGCTTTACCCTTCTTTCTCTAGCACTCACCTGGTAATCTCTGTGGGCCCAACTGGCTCTAAGATTCTATGATTCTATAATGAAAAGACAAAAGGCAAAAGATGTTCCCATAAGGGACATTTCTTTGAATCAGAAAATTGTTTCATTTTGCCAAAAATAAATTTAAGCCCTAGTTGACCTCCATTTTGCCTTTTCTATCCTTCCTGTAGTTTAATCCTATTCCTTCCATTTTATTATCAATTTTGAAATGAAAATTTAAATTTGTTTTGCTTGATCAAATTATGATATAAATAAAGTAATAAAAATACAAAACAATAAATTATACTTACTTATAAAGTCTACAGCTTCTTGAAATTAACATATTATAATCTACTGCTGCTGAAATCTTTAGTCATCAAACAGTTTAAACACTAGAGTAGTGGTTCTTGACAGAGGGGACTTTGCCCCGATATGGATTGGCTGTGCCCCCATGCAAATCTTATCTTGAATTGTAGCTTCCACAATTCCCACATGTTGTGGGAGGGATCAAGTAGGAGGTAATTGAATCACGGGGAAAGGCTTTTCCCATGCTCTTCTCATGATAACTAATAAGTCTCATGAGACATAATGGTTTTGTAAGGGAGAACCCTTTTCACTTAGTTCCCATTCTCTCTTGCTGCTGCCATGTAAGAAGTACTTTTCGCCTTCCACCATGATTGTGAGGCCTCCCTAGCCACATGGAACTGTGAGTTTATTAAACCTATTTTCTCTCCAGTCTCAGGTATGTCTTTATCAGCAGTGTGAAAATGAACTAATACAGTAAATTGGTACCAGTGGACTGGGGCATTGCTGAAAAGATACCCAAAAATGTGAAAGCAACTTTGGAACTGGCTAACAGGCATAGGTTGAAACTGTTTGGAGGGCTCAGAAGAAGACAGAAAATATAGGAATATTTGGAACTCCCTAGTAAAGACTTTTAAATGGCTTTGAGCAAAATGCTGATAATGATATGGGCAATGAAATCCGGGCTGAGGTGGTCTCAGATGGAGAGGAGGAATTTGTTGGGAACTGGAGCAAAGGTGACTCTTGCTATATTTTAGCAAAGATACTGGCAGCATTTTGCCCCTGACCTAGAGATTTGTGGAACTTTGAACTTGAGAGAGATGATTTAGGGTATTTGGCAGAAGAAATTTCTAAACAGCAAAGCATTCAAGGTGTGACTTGGGTGCTGTTAAAAGTGTTCAGTTTTAAAAGGGAAACAGAGCATAAAAGTTTGACAAATTTGCAGCCTGACAATGTGATAGAAATTAAAATCCCATTTTCTAAGGAGAAATTCAAGTTGGCTGCATAAATTTTCATAATTAATGAGGAGCTGAATGTTAATCACCAAGACAATGGGGGAAATGTCTCCAGGGCATGTCAGAGACCTTTGTGGTAGCTCCTCCCACCACAGGCCCAGAGGCCTAGGAGGAAAAAATGGTTTCATTGGCCGGGACCAGAGTCTCTCTGCTGTGTGCAGTCTAAGGACTGTGTTCCAGTTGCTCCATCCATGACTAAAAGGAGTCAAGGTACAGCTTGGGCCATGGCTTCAGAAAGTGCAAGTTCCAAGCCTTGGCAGCTTCCATGTGGTGTTGAGCCTGCAGGTGCAAAGGAGTCAAGAATTGAGGTTTGGGAACCTCTGCCTAGTTTTCAGAAGATATTATGGAAACATCTGGATGTCCAGGCAGAAGTTTGTTGCAGCAGTGGGGCCCTCATGGAGAACCTCTGCCAGGGCAGTGAAGAAGAGAAATGTAGGGTGGGGACCCCCACAGACTCCCCACTAGTGTGCTGCCTAGTGAAGCTGTAAGAAGAGAGCCACCATCCTCCAGACCCCAGAATGGTAGATCCACTGACAGCTTGCACAATGCACCTGGAAAAGCCACAGACACTCAATACCAGCCCATGAAAGCAGCTGGGAGGGAGGCAGTATCCTCCAAAGCCACAGGGGCAGAGCTGCCTGAGATCACGGGAACCCATCTCTTGCATCAGCATGACCCAGATGTGAGACATGGAATCAAAAGACATCATTTCGGAGCTTTAAAATTTGACTGCCCTGCTGCATTTTGGACTTGCATGGGGCCTGTAGCCCCTTGGTTTTGGCCAATTTCTCCCATTTGTAACAGCTGTATTTACCCAATACATGTACCTACATTGTATCTAGAAAGTAATTAACTTGCTTTTGATTTTATGGGCTCATAGGCAGAGGGGACTTGCCTTGTCTCAGATGAGACATTGGACTGTAAGCTTTTGAATTAATGCTGAAATGGGTTAACAATTTGGGGTTCTACTGGGAAGGCATGATTGGTTTTGAAATGTGAGGACATGAGATTTGCGAGGGGCCAGGGATAGAATGATATGGTTTGGCTGTGTTCCCACACAAATCTCATCTTGAATTGTAGCTCCCACAATTCCAACATGTTGTGGGAGGGACCCAGTGGGGGGTAACTGAATCATGGGGGCACGTATTTCCTGTGCTGCTCTTGTGACAGTAAGTCTTACAAGATATGATGGTTTTATAAGGGGAAACCCCTTTCAGTCAGTTCTCATTCTCTCTTGCTGCTGCCATGTAAGAAGTGCCTGTTTCCTTCTGCCATGATTGTGAGGCCTCCCAAGCCACGTGGAATTGGGAGTCCATTAAACCTATTTTTCTTCCCAATCTCAGGTATATCTTTATCAGCAGTGTGAAAATGGACCAATAGAGCCCCCAAGGGACACTTGTCAATCTCTAGAGACATTTATGGTTGTGGCATCCTGGAGGGATACTACTGGCATCTAGCAGGGACAGTCCTGAAATGCTGCTAAGCGTCTTATAATATATCAGAGCCCACCACACCAAAGAATTATCCAGCCCAAAAGCCAGTAGTCTCAAGACTGGTAAATTATGGTCTAAAGGGACTTTTAATTTTCTAATTGGCTAGCTGGCTAAGTAACAGATATTTTCCTCCAAAACGCTTAAGGAAAATGATTAGCAAATTCCAAGGACTACTGCCACTAAAATGTTGAGTACAATAAAGAATTGCCTGGAAGAATCAGATGATAGAATACTTAGGATCCACTGTAGCTATACAGTGCCAAGAAAGCAAAGACGCAGTTAGACTCATGTTACATCTTAACTTATTCCATTTTGAATAAGTGACTTATCTGACACAGCAAGGGTCAAATGCATCTGAAAAATACACTGTTAAATGCATGAATTATCAGTAAGTTAGCACTTTAAACAAACACACTGATGGTCTGTTGGCTAACATGATATGGTTCTAGTGTGATGTAGGTAAGTGAATTTGGGGCCAGGAGATAGAATCTAGGAGTGTAGTCATGGCTCCATCTCTTGCTGACTGAGTGACTCTAGCTAGGTCATATGGCTTACCTGGGCTTCAGTTTCTGCATCTGATAAACGTGAACGCTTATATATGTCTGTTTTATCTACCTCACTGGTCATTGTGAGAATTCTTTTTTTAAGTACACTTTCTCTTTATTTGAGTATTGATATATTCTCATATTTTTTTATACTCCTCATATATGGTTTTGGAAATAACAATGTATTTGGAAGACCAAGGAAAAGTAGATTCCTCCAGGGAGGAGGCTTCACACCCCCATGTAGAGACATGATTGGGCTCCTATAATTAACTAACTTCTCTCCTCTCATATGTCTCATTAGAGTGTAAAAATAGATTTTTAAAAGTATCATAGACAAGCCACAGACTTGTAGAAAATATTTTCAAAATGCATATCTGATAAAAAATGTGTATCTAAAATGTACAAAGAACTCTTAAAATTCAACAATAAGAAAACAAGCAACCCAGTTAAATAATGTAAAAAAACCTGAACAGACCCCTCACCAAAGAAGGTAAACAGATGCCAAATAAGGATATGAAAAAATGCTCAATATTGTTTGTCAACAGAGAATTGCAACTTAAAATGACAACAAAGTACCACTACATAACTATTGTAATTTTTGAACTGGAACAATTTGAGCAATAAAATAAATAGAATAATATATAATTTTAACTCAAAGTACCAAATAAATATCCATGAGTCCATACTGTTACTAATAGATAATTGAATAAATATTTAAATGGGGGATATGAGACAAATTATGCATAAGAATTCTAAATAATTTGTCTGGATACTCCACCCTCAGGAGGTGGAGCAAAACTTCTCACTCATTAAGTGTGGGCTGCACAAAGTGGCCTCCTTCTAAAGAGTGCACTATGGAAAGAGAAAACCTAACAAACACCACCTTGGCCAAGGTGAACAAGGTCACCATAAATAGTGATTAGTCATGTTGACAGTATGTACCCTTCAGACGATGTGATGATGATGGCACCTTACCTCTGTGGTTCTCCTCCCCAAAAGCCATGACCCCAGTCTAATCATGAGAATAACAACATAAAGATTTCAGTACGGGGCATCCTACTGTACCCCTGATCAGTGCTCTTCCAAACCTGCAAGGTCATACAAAGCAGAAAATGTCCCAGCAACTGCCTCAGCCAGAGGAACCTCAGGAGACTTGACAGCTAAATGTTTCTTGGGATCTTGAATGAGATCCCAGAACAGAAAAGGACACTCAGTGAAAACCACATAAATGTAAGTAAAATATAGGCTTTAAGTAATAAAAATATATCAATATTGGTACATGAATAATAATAAATGCACTAATATAATATATATAATATTGTAAGACGTTAATGATAAACACAGCCGAGGGTGGACGTGAACTCTGTGTACTCTAAGTTCACAATATTTCTGTAGATATGCAAATCTCCTAAAACAAAGTTTATTTTAAAAACAATATTATTATAATGATTGATGAAAAACATTGTGAGAGAGCAGTCGTGGTTTAAACTGTTATTGCACTTTGTGAGCATTTGGTTTTTCTAACAGAAGATGGAACTAGAAGACACACCTTTAGATTTGCTCAGTAGTTTACCCTGGGGCAGCTGGTACCACCCCTCTGTCATTAGCCATTTAGGAAAGCTAGGAGAAAAGTGTCATTGTTTAATTACATGTCAGAGGACAATGAGCGTCACAGAGTGCATGTGGAGTATGTTGGAAAATGTTTCCTTCCACACAGTGAGCCTGATATATCTCTCTAATAAAGGGCAAATGGAGAAGGACTTCCATCCCTGTCACTGAGTATGTACCACCAGGGCTGTCAGCTGTGGACCATCCCCATCACTGAGTATAGGCCACTAGTGTTGTCAGCTGTGGACCATCCCTGTCACTGAGTATGGGCCACCAGGTTTTGTCAGCTGTGGACCATCCCTGTCACTGAGTATGGGCCACCAGGTTTGTCAGCTGTGGACCATTCCTGTCACTGAGTATGGGCCACCAGGGTTGTCATCTGTGAATGGAAACCATTCATCTCTCCAGGACGCTGGAGCCCTAGTGAAGTGAATGTGCTCATATGAAGACTCACACAAGTATAAAATGTTTAGGCTTCTTGGGGATGAGGCTGGCTATGGCCACTGGCTGGAAAACAGGGTGTGTTTTCCTACCATCCTTCCCTCTTTCTCTATTCCATTCATATCAGCCTCAGACTTTCTGAAAAAAAAAAAAAAAAAAAAAAAACCCACAATAAAATTAGTTCTTCATGTAGAGCCCAGAGCAGTTTGGTTTTGTATCCAGGATTCCTGTAAAGATAATATATTTCTCCCCTAAGTTTCACCTTAGAATGTCTCTTCTCGAACCATAGCAATTTCCCTCTCAGCTAAACAGAAGATTTTCCCAACTAGGAAATCACCAGACATGCTGTTTCCAGGATGACTTACTTTGAATGCTCAGTGCATTTGAAACTGAACTCCCATGGATAGGAAAGGGGTATGGAGCCGTCATTACATAGCAAATCTTGAAAACGTCAAGATCATTGAACTAAAAAACTTCAAGGCTGGGTGCAGTGGCTCATGCCTGTAATCCTAGTACTCGGCCAATGCGGGTGGATCCCTTAAGCTCAGGAGTTCGAGATCGGCCTATGCAACATAGTGAGAACCCATCTCTATAAAAGATACAAAAATTAGCTTGGTGTGGTGGCGTGCACCTGTAGTCCCAGCTGCACAAGAAGCTGAGGTGGGAAGATGGCTTGAGCCTAGGAGGTGGAAGTTGCAGTGAGCCGAGATCGCACCACTGCACTCCAGCCTGGGCAACAGAGCCAGGCCTGTCTCAAAATCATTAATAAATAAATACATAAATAAATAAATGAATGAATAACTAATTCTATTCTTTCTTTTCCCCATCCCCACAGATAGCTACATTAATACAAATGACAGATTATAACCATATATAAATATCCCAATTAAAACAAACAAATG
This sequence comes from Homo sapiens, assembly GCF_000001405.40. Taxonomy (NCBI): domain Eukaryota; kingdom Metazoa; phylum Chordata; class Mammalia; order Primates; family Hominidae; genus Homo; species Homo sapiens. The sequence continues at coordinate 91,713 of NT_187543.1, forward strand.
ACTAAAACAGGTGGCAGTGTTAATTGCCGATCTCTCTGTGGTCCACATTCTGTTTCATTCCTTTAGAACGTCACTACCTACCCCTCGATCTGCAATGCTAGTAAAAGGACTTTCATGTCTGTGCACTTTAAGCGTTTTGGGGATGGCATCACAGGAGCAGAAGAGGCCATGGGAAAAGAAACTTTGAATGCAGGGAGCATACTGAGGTAGTCAGTGTGTTCTGCTGCTTGATCCTGACATCGGGCTATTGAAATTGAAGATGGAAAACCCGTATTGAGTCATTTGGCTCTTTCCCTTGAGGGCAGTAGATTATGCTGGACAGTATTTTATTTAGCACCCTGTCCATTTCTATTTTAACTTGCTCTTCCTTGGAGGCCTATTAACTCAAACCCAGCAAGGATTTTATTACAAATGGAAGGCATTCTACTAGTTGGTCATTTCTTCCACAAAACACACATTCTCCTGCTGAGATATTAAAAAACAAAATTTACCAAACAACATGAAAACAGTGCTGGATTGTAGAAGGAGCAATAAGCGGATTGTCGCAAAGTGGCTCCAGACGCTCACTCTGACTTGCCTGAAACACATGCTCACTGAGAATCCTCAACACTGGGTCCCTGGAAATAGGGACCATGTGACACTAAGCGACCTGTAGCACTGATATCCTCATAGCCCCTTTTCCCCACAGGTCCCACGATACCCAGGTTCTGGGCAGTTAGTGTTCCCAGGCAATTCTCATAAACAGCTACACCACATGCAGACTGCTTGGTACTGAGGAAATCTCATTCAACATCGACAAGTTTGCTTTCAGGCTTGCCCTTTGTAAAAGTCAGAGTGGCCCCAGTGGAATGCAAGTCCATGCTACTGGTCAGAAAAATATCTTGGTCCTCGTGTTTTCTCTATGGCAAAGATGAGAGGATGAGGGACACTGGGCTTTTCTCCTCCCGGGTTCTGTAAGCTTCTGCCTTCCTAAAAAGGCTGATTCCCTAACTCATGCCATTCTCCAACCTGGTGCATGAAAGACAGTGTCCCAGATGGCATCTTCCTTGAACAACGAAGAACGAGGACTTCTGGAGCCAAAAGCTGGGTTAAATATGTGCTCTGATGTTCATTCGCTACAGGAGCCTCGGGTTCCGCATCTGTCAACTAGAAATAACACCCTTGCCTTAGGCAGGGGCTGTGGTAACGTGCTGTGGGTACATAGTGACGGTCAGAACAGTAAAGAAATGCAATCAGTGGTAGCTACTACTGTTGGCATAATTACGAACAGCAGGAGGATGAACAGACACCCCCTGAAAACTTAGGAACATTATTTTTAAATCACATGTAGTGTGAAAAGTACACAGTTTGGTTTGTTATACAGAAACAAGAGGTTTAAATCCATGGAGTAGAAGATAACGATAATGCACTGATTGCTGGTTATGAAAGTCAGGAAGAAAATAACCAAGTTCAGTGCTCATCTTGATCTAAGACCATTCATGGCCTGACCTCTCTAATGCGCAGAGGATAAAACACGGGAGTGCATGATGCTCACCAAGGATCAGTCAGAATTTCTCCAAGGATCAGCTCCCAAATCAACCAAAACTTCTCCAAGGTTCAGCTCCCAAATCAACCAGAACTTCTCTAAGGATCAGCTCCCAAATCAACCAGAACTTCTCCAAGGTTCAGCTCCCAAATCAACCAGAACTTCTCCAGGGATCAGCTCCCAAATCAACCAGAAATTTTCCAAGGATCAGCTCCCAAATTAGCCAGAACTTCTCCAGGGATCAGCCCCCAAATCAACCAAAACTTCTCCAAGGATCAGCCCCAAATCAACCAAAATTTCTCCAAGGATCAGCTCCCGAATCAACCAAAACTTCTCCAAGGATCAGCCACCAAATCAACCAGAACTTCTCCAAGGTTCAGCTCCCAAATCAACCAGAACTTCTCCAAGGATCAGCCCCCAAATCAGCCAGAACTTCTCCAGGGATCAGCCCCCAAATCAGTCAGAACTTCTCCAAGGATCAGCTTCCAAATCAACCAGAACTTCTCCAAGGATCAGCTCCCAAATCAACCAGAACTTCTCCAAGGTTCAGCTTCCAAATCAACCAGAACTTCTCCAAGGATCAGCCCCCAAATCAGCCAGAACTTCTCCAGGGATCAGCCCCCAAATCACCCAGAACTTCTCCAAGGATCAGCTCCCAAATTAGTCAGAACTTCTCCAAGGATCAGCTTCCAAATCAACCACAACTTCTTCAGGGATCAGCCCCCAAATCAGCCAGAACTTCTCCAAGGATCAGCTACCAAATCAGTCAGAACTTCTCCAGGGATCAGCTCCCAAATCAGCCAGAACTTCTCCAAGGATCAGCTCCCAAATCAACCAGAACTTCTCCAAGGATCAGCTCCCAAATCAACCAGAACTTCTCCATGCATCGGCTCCCAAATTAATCAGAACTTCTCCAAGGATCAGCCCCCAAATCAACCAGAACTTCTCCAGGGATCAGCCCCCAAATCAGCCAGCACTTCTCCAGGGATCAGCTCCCAAATCAACCAGAACTTCTCCAAGGATTAGCTCCCAAATCAACCAGAACTTCTCCAAGATTCAGCTCCCAAATCAGTCAGAACTTCTCCGAGAATCAGCTCCCAAATCAACCAGAACTTCTCCAAGATTCAGCTCCCAAATCAGTCAGAACTTCTCCAAGGATCAGCTCCCAAATCAGTCAGAACTTCTCCAAGGATGAGCCCCCAAATCAACCAGAACTTCTCCAAGGTTCAGCTCCCACATCAGTCAGAACTTCTCCAAGGTTCAGCCCCCAAGTCACCCGGAACTTCTCCAAGTTTCAGCTCCCAAATCAGTCAGAACTTCTCCAAGGATCAGCCCCCAAATCAACCAGAACTTCTCCAAGTTTCAGCTCCCAAATCAGTCAGAACTTCTCCAAGGATCAGCCCCCAAATCAACCAGAACTTCTCCAAGGATCAGCTCCCAAATCAACCAGAACTTCTCCAAGTTTCAGCTCCCAAATCAGTCAGAACTTCTCCAAGGATCAGCCCCCAAATCACCTGGAACTTCTCCAAGGATCAGCCCCCAAATCAACCAGAACTTCTCCAAGGTTCAGCTCCCAAATCAGCCAGAACTTCCCCAAGGTTCAGCCCCCAATTCACCCAGAACTTCTCCAATGATCAGCCCCCAAATCAACCAGAACTTCTCCAAGGTTCAGCTCCCAAATCAACCAGAACTTCTCCAAGGTTCAGCTCCCACATCAGTCAGAACTTCTCCAAGGTTCAGCCCCCAAGTCACCCGGAACTTCTCCAAGGATCAGCCCCCAAATCAACCAGAACTTCTCCAAGTTTCAGCTCCCAAATCAGTCAGAACTTCTCCAAGGATCAGCCCCCAAATCACCCGGAACTTCTCCAAGGATCAGCCCCCAAGTCAACCAGAACTTCTCCAAGGTTCAGCTCCCAAATCAGCCAGAACTTCCCCAAGGTTCAGCCCCCAAATCACCCAGAACTTCTCCAATGATCAGCCCCCAAATCAACCAGAACTTCTCCAAGTTTCAGCTCCCAAATCAACCAGAACTTCTCCAAGGATCAGCTCCCAAATCAACCAGAACTTCTCCAAGGATCAGCTCGCAAATCAGCCAGAACTTCTCCAAGGATCAGCTCCCAAGTCAGCCAGAACTTCTCCAAGGATCAGCCCCCAAATCAGCCAGAACTTCTCCAAGGTTCAGCTCCCAAATCATTCAGAACTTCTCCAAGGATCAGCTCCCAAATCAACCAGACCTTCTCCAGGGATCAGTTCCCAAATCAGCCAGAAATTCTCCAGGGATCAGCTCCCAAATCAGCCAGAACTTCTCCCAGGGTGGGAGATCTTTTGATCTCATGCAGTCCCTTCATAGTGCTCAGCATTTTACCCAGAAAAGCATCAGTCACCCGTAAAGGCTAAGTTTTAAACACTGTAAAACCAGAAAATGTTATATACACGACTGTGTGAGGCGTGAACGTGGGGAAGTGAGTGTGAAAGTGCATGAATGTGAGCATTCAAGAAGGCATGAGTGTGCGAGGGAACCCCACCAACAAAGCAAGCAAGAGGACCTGGCCTCTTTCTATTTGCGACAACCCTTAATGGGGCTCAGAGATTTCCCACTGCGTTCCTTACCCTCTTAGTGCTGCACACCGGCCTCTACAAAGCCATAAGCAAGGAAAAGAAATAGAGGATCGTGAGTTTAAACAGTTCAGAATAAATTGGTATTGGGTGTTAAGGGCTTAAATTCCACTATCTATGTTTACCGTATCTTAAGTTGAATCAAAACAAAATCCAACAACACAATGTTACAAGATGTTGCTGCCTAGAAACAACCGAAAGCTGGATTAGAGGGTCATAAATTAAGGATTGGGTACATTGTAACTAATTAAATACATACAAAAGAAAAGCAGATTTGGTAATATCATTTCAGGCTATGTAGTATTTAAAGTCTCTTATTGAGTTAAAAGAGCATCGTATTATTTTAAATTGGTAAGCTAATAATAAAGATATGACATGAATAAACTTTAATATACCAAATAAAAAAGCCCAAAAGTATATATATATAAAACAAAAAACAGACAGACGTATGGCTGCAGCTGATAAATTTTTAACTCACCATTATCAACATACAGCAGATACCATATTCAAAAATGAAACAAAATAAGAACTGAAAAAAATAAGTAATAAAATTAATGTGGTGGAACTAATAGAATATGCCAAACTTTTTATCTGAAAGTTAGAAATCTCATCCTCTTTCATACCTTCTGTCCATATACAATCACCAACTGTGAAAACAAAATTATCATCCTATTTCCAGAAATTATTAAGACAAAAAGCTGATAAAAATATTTAGCCAAACGAAGCATTAGAATACCAAATTATAGGGATGTGCGTGATGACTTAACTGTTTCTTGCACGTTTTGCTGGGCGCTGTAATTCAGATAGTTTGTGTTTTAACTTTTACAATCTTCTAGTCTGCAATAATAATTTTATAGTTTGCTGTGGAACTGCACCAAATCCATAAAATCTGCAAAAGTCCTCAAAATTCCACATATGTGGGTTGTCATTGGCCCTAATAATTGTGCTCCAAGTTTTGCACTAAATTCTTCCACAAATTAGAAATGAAAACACCATGTGTTTCAGAGGAATGAATGAAAAACACCTACCAGGACACGGCTGAGCTAACACTCAGCACCTTCCAAAATTCTGCACTTGAGTCTTTTGTAAACAACCCTGCCTTTCAGTTCCTCAGTCAACACATTAAATACACATCCTTTTCAGAAATTATTGTCTATATAGCTTATGAATCTAAAACCAGAACCATTTCACCAGGTTGGTGGGGATCTTTTCCATGTTTGCTGTGAATGGCAAAACCACATAACTCAATGGAACCACAGATGTGCAAATCTGGGTGGACAGCAGGGATGGCAGCCACCCTCAGTATGCAGATAGAGACCATGAAACTAATGTGGCTGTTAACTTGTCCCAGAAAGCAAACTCAAGGGGTTAGCAGCTGTTTTTGTTTCCTCTCTTTCTCTCTCTTCTTTTGTTGCTGACATTTGAAACATATATCTCACCATTGCTGACACCATCCCCCTCACCCCCACCAGTAGGAGTCAGTTCATTGCATGGACTGAGAGAGAGACATCTTGCCACCGGTTTCTTCTCTATCCAGATGTGATTTTTGCAGAGTAGCAGAGCACCGGAAGCTGGCTTCACCATAAAGGCTACTCTGCAGACTATTATCTTCCAGCATACATGAGGGATAGCATATGGTATGAGGGTGGGCGTTCTAATGAGACAAATCAAAGACACCAATGGTTCACAGACTTCTCTAGGAGCAAAGTATTGCCCTATAGGACACAAAGGAATTGATTTAAGAAACCCTTCAGAAAACTGGTATTGCTTTTATTTTCACTACAAAATAAATATTGAAGTAAATACAAAAAGATGTTCTCCATAATGATGTATGAGAACCTGCATGAAGTCAAGCCTGCATTCTGTGGCCACCACAAATTCAAGGCAAGCAGGACGCCACAAACTTCACCCTCCCACTCCCAAGTTTCTGCCAAATTAAGCCCCAAAGTTTAGGGACAGAAAGCAAAATATCCTAGATTCCTGTAACTCCTGGTTTGTTTTTTTTTTTTTTTTTTTTTTTGAGACGGAGTCTTGCTCTCTTGCTCTCTCACCAGGCTGGAGTGCAGTCGCGTGACAGCAACCTCCACCTCCCAGGTTCAAGCTATTCTCCCGCCTCAGCCTCCTGAGTAGCTGGGACTACAGGCATGTGCCACCATGCCTGGCTAATTTTTGTATTTTTAGTAGAGACAGGGTTTCACCATGTTGGCCAGGATGGTCTCAATGTCTTGACCTCATGATCCACCCACCTTGGCCTCCCAAAGTGCTGGGATTACAGGTGTGAACCACTGTGCCCAGCCCCTTTAACTCATTTTGAAATGATTCTCACATAACATATTCACATCAATATTTTCATAACCTAAGAAATTTCCATTGACCTAGTTTCCTTAATTAACTTGTGAGAAAAATTCTTATCATTGGATTTCTTTTAATTTTCAAAATATATAAATTGATGTGCAGATCGATACAAAATAACAATTTATGCTTGTTATAAACCCATCTCTGCTCAGAGTCCTGGAAAGGACATCACAGTGGAAGGCCAAGTGGGCTGCAGGTGGCAGACACAGTTCCTCAGCCTGGACGTCACAGTGGAAGGCCAAGTGGGCTGCAGGCAGTGGACAGAGTTCCTCAGCCTGGTCAGTTGCTCCTGGGATGGTGGGTGAGTCAGAACATGTGTCTTTATTTGTCAAGTGGGGGTTAAGCCAGGCATTGTCTAAGGTGCCTCACAGAGTTAATATTCTTTGCTGTGAACTTGCTGCCAAATAGTTCATAGGACAGTTTTTATGTTCAGCCAATGGGTAGAAATGTAGCCCAAAGACCTACAACATGGGGCAGGGAATCAGGGCAGGGGACCAGGGCAGGGATCCAGGGCAGGGAACCTGCTCTCCCTTGCTGATGGTCTTCACTGTCCTCCTCTCCTTCCTCCCACGTGTCGGGATCAGTGATGAAGTGGAGGCACCTTTCAGAGAATGTATCCAGGATCTCCTTCTCCTCTCCTTCAAAAAACAGAAAGCTCGATGTTGTCTTTTATCACATCTGGTATTTGAAAATTTATGTTCTGATGAGGCACTGTGCGCAGAAGCAGAACCCGCTGCATCCAATGGTATGCTGCTATGCTGACCTCGAAGTCACTCGCCTTGGACACAGGCCGTTAACTTGACATGGTGATTTATTCGCCAATAAGCACATCTCCCATATCACAGATCAGCGAGTGGAGTGTGCTGCAAATGGTGTGGTGGCCTTGAACCCCTGAGATATCCTAGAGACATGATGGATGGGCTGGCCTGGCCTGTTGTGACTGTGGTGAAGGCAAGGGAGGCAGGGGTCTGCACCTGCCCCTGGTACAACCTGCTGCCCCACAAGCACCCAAAGCCTGCTGCCGGCATCGTCTTCCTTTGCTCTGAATCTTAGTTGTTAAGCTTTCCCCCAGAGTAACAGGAGAGTTGCAGCCTGCGGGAAAAGGACAAGATGTGAATTCTGTTTCAGGAATTTGGCCTTAAAAACAATGATGCTTATTTGTGTAGCCCAAGAGAGGAGCTCATTGAACATAAGTCAGATGCCAGGGCTGATGTGGCCTCAGATAGTAATTCTTACCTCACTGCTGTTTCAGGCAGCCAGTTCTTACATTTGCATCCATTAGTGGGAAGAGCGTCTCATCTTTCATAGAAAAGGTCGAGTGACAGCACACAGTCAACCAGGCATTGCCTCAAGAGCTGTGAGACGGTGCTCTAGGGGCACTGAGCCTCGGTGACCTGCCTGGGAGCCTCATGTAGTCCTGGAAAATCACCAGCTCTGCAAATCTCAACCCAAACAGGAAACTCTCTGCCCCGAAGTAGCACAGACATAACTCTCGATACATACGTCGATTTATCTCCACATTATTATTATTATTTAATTTTTTGTAATACAGCCTTGTTTTGACTTACAACTCCCAGAGACATCCTTTCAAGGTAATATAATTCTAGCTTTATTGCAGTTCAGATGAACATTCTTTTTTAAAGCTAAAATAATGTAAGTTGTATCAAGTACTAACACCATTCTTAGGGCTGACATGAATAATCAGATTTTCATTTTGTCCTACAATTTCATACATCCCTAGTCCATGCAAACACTTTAAAGCAACCATTTTCTAGACATAAATGTGCTGCTATATGATGATGAGACTCTGCATGATTTCTGTCTTATTCTTTATGCTTTTCTGTATTTTCCCAGTTTTCTAAAATATTAACAAAATTTGTTGTTAAAATTGTAACAACCTTTTGAAAGAACATGCATTTAAAAACAAAATTATAAATGGGACATTTATAATTATGTGGTACATTGTGATAAAGATGGTAGGCTCAGCTGGCCCTGTGTTTCTATGTTGTACATTCGAAGCACTCACAAGGTGCCCAGAGCGTCGCAAGGGCTCTGAGGCCCCTCAGACAGCAGCCAAGTAAGAAAGTTTAATTCACTAATTACAGTAGGAAAAGCTGAATTACAGAACAAGTGATGATCTGCCTGAGATGCTCATGTAATAACCTAGAACATTCCTGGGGAAAGCTGGGCCTGACTCCCACTATTCTGCTCTCTCCACACATTCCTCCAAGACCTTCTACAGACCCTTTGAGAGCGTGGAAGTTTGGAGTGTGAAGCCACGCTGAAGACGCCTTAACGTCCCAACAGTTTTGCTTCTTAATAAATTGAAGACTTACTTCAACATAATCATGCAACCAACTGAAAGACTTTTAAAAAGTTTTTTACAAAAAGAATTACTACATTTATCCTCGAGACACCAAACAAGAGCCTAACTAACATTTTCATTGAATTGGCGATTGGCTTGAGTTGTTTCCAAATTGACTTTATTTGTCCTTTGGAATCACATAGACACAACCTTAATCTAAAAGTCATTAGCAACTAAATTTAAGATTATTGACTTAGCTGCATAGAAAACCAAAAACTTGACATCCTGATGGAAAAGTTGCATTCAATTTTATAAGAAGAGCTAATATTTAAGGAGAACTTAGTATATGCCAGTGGTATTCCAAGCACCATACCCGTATTAACTTAATTCCTGTAACAACCCTAGGAAGAAGGCTACATTATTATTCTAATCTTAAAGAGGAATAAACTGAGATACCGAGCCATTGAATAACAGTGAATAAGTAAAGAAGCAAAGGATTGATCAGAGGTAATCTCACCTGGATCCTCTTACCCACTGAGCTAGGACTGCATTCTCACCCCACAAATGGTGATGTGGTCAGGGCTACATAGTGGAGTGATCTAGACCACAGGCCTGGTGTCAAACACACTCAGGTTTTCATGCTCAGCCTGCCACTTACTAGCTGAGTATACTTAGGCAAAGCACTTTATTAAATATATCATTTTGCCTCAGTTTTCTTAATCTAGTCCCTAACTTGCATGATTGTCATAAGGCTTAAATTAGAGAATGTTTACAAGTTGGTTAGCTAGTGTCATAACATACTAAGGCTCCTTTAAATGGTACCTACTAGGATTATATCAACTTTCTAACATCTATTTTATCCTCCACAATAGTAGGATGCATTTAGAATGTTTGCAGTCACATGAGAAATTTATAAGGAGGAAGGCAGACAGCCTTATTTCAGAACTGAACAAGACTCAGAAGCCAACGTTTAGCTGTGTTTAGAAAGTTTTGCAGATCTCAAGTGAGTAGCACTTTCATCTAGTGATTCTTTTATTCAAGATCATAGGAAATATCCATTTGGAGCCTTTAAAACTCTTTTATGCCGCGAAAATGCAGACACACAAACAACGCACTATGGGTAATCCTGGCCTCAAGAGATCTGTGAACAAAATAAAGCAACAAAGAACTGGCACAGAGCACTGTGCTGGCTCCGTTCATTTCCACACTGCTCTTGGAGCTGGGAGTGGAAAGGAGCAGGTAATTTCTTCCATGGGAGCAGCCAATGCATATTATTCTGGTGAAAGTACTTAAATACACAGAATAGAGACAGAATATGAAAAAGAGCAAACTGCTTTAAGGAAAAAAATTCACTCCTAAGGGAAAAGAATCATCTAGTTTTGTTTTATACCTGCAGAACAGAGATCAATGCTGAGACCTCGGTGTCTAGCACACAGCCCAGTATGTAACAGGTAAGAAAGTCAATTAACATTTCCTAGATGATTGATAGAAAAACACCTGAAAACTTTCTACCCAACAACCAAAACCATCTTCCAGGAAAGACACCTATTTGCCTGGATTCAGTCCTGAACATATGTACCACCCAACTGTAGTCACAAAGAGGAATTCTGTTTATAGAAAACTATTGTTAATATTTTTAAACCATTTGCTACATTACTATATTTTAAAAGCTTAAAATTTCACAGAGAAAAATAATTTTACCTTTTGGAATTACTACATTTTGGAATTACAAAATTTTGCCGAAAAATTCTTAAGACAGCTGAGTCTGCAGGGTTGAAAGACCAGCGGAGATGATGGTTACAAAGTATGCCAGATGGCTTTTGTCCCATAACACACCATCTTAAACTTGGTCGTTGCAAGGGGCGATTTTGTGCCAACTTGGCTAGGCCATGAACCCAGATATTAGGTCAAACACTCAGTGTAAATATTGCTGTGAAGGTATTTGTTAGATGAGATTAACATTGAAATCAGTGGATATTTAGTGAAGAGGGTTACCCCCATAATGTGAGTGGACTTCACCTAAATGGTTGAAGGCCTTAAGAGAAAGAAAGACAGAGGTCCCGGAGGGAAAGGGAATCCTGCCTCCAGGTGGTCTCTGGGCTCCAGATTCAGCATCATCTCTTCTCTTTTCTTCATCTCTTCTCTGGCTCTCCAGCCTGCAGCCTGCCAGTCCCCACAATCGTGTGGGCCAATTCATTATAATACATCTCTCCCTCTCATGTATCGTATCTTACTTCTTTCTCCGGAGAACCCCGACGACCATAATGGCTTATACAACAACCTTTATTTCACTTACAATTTCCGGGCTCGCAGTTTGAGCTGTCTTCACTGGGGCAGGCCTGATCTTCTGGGCCGGACTCAGCTGATCTGGACTGGGCTCATTTGTGCAATTTGAGCTGGCTTCATTGGGGCAGGCCTGATCTTCTGGGCCAGACTCAGCTGATCTGGACTGGGCTCATTCACACATCTGTAACTGTCATTTGTTAGTCAAACATTTAAACGATTTGCAAAAATGTGAAACAATTTCCCTTTTCTCACCAATTTTTGAGGGGTTTGGAAAATATAATTATTTTTCATAAAATGTTATTTACATTAAAATGTGTTGGTCTTAATATTATTTTAAATGAGTTGATAAATATTTTTTTACATTTCCCATTTTGGTATTCAATAAAGTAAATATAGATAGACATGACCCATGTGAATAAAAGCTGTTAAGTGTCCTCAATAATTTGAACTGTGTAAAGGGGTCCTAAGAATGAAAAGTTTGTGAATCACTGCTCAATACATGTCATCTGGAAGCAGCTAGTGTAGGATCCAGCCTAAATCTCCACGGCGTGAGGAAAGCCATGGCCATCCGGGCCTCCTTTAGCAGTGATCAATGTCATCCATTACGTAAAACCTATTGAGGGTTTGCTATGTGCCAGAAAGGCGAGGTTTGCTGTGTATGCAGGAGCCAGGTCATGGGAAGATTTGCAAACTTCACTAGGGCTTCAGCTTCACTTAGAAAGAAAAAAAAGTGACTGAAGTATTTTAACGAAGAGAATGATGTGTCTCGATTTATATTTTAGGAAGGTGATTACGAGGCTGTGTCTTTGATGGAATGAAGCCAATAAGGCTGCAGCCAAGAAGATCAGTTGGAGCTTTTAGCTGAAATCCAGGTGAGAAGAGATTAAGGCCTCCTAAATTAAGGCAGGAACAGAAGGAAAAGAAAGAAGAGCTTCCAGGAGCGATAAATGAGATAGATCTACTACACTGGGTGACTAAATGGGCACAAAAAAATGAACGGCATTTCCTTTCTCCAAAGGCAATTTTCCTCAAATTATTGACATTATCCGAAAGACATAAACAGGTATTTTTCAAAGGAAGATATACAAATAATCAATGAACATACTAAAATGTGTTCAGAAATCACTAGAATAAAAAAATGCAAGTATAAGCAATAAAATAAATTGTCTTTAACCAAATGGCAGTTTTTTTTTTAGCAACACCTGTTTTCAAAGATAGGAAAAGAGATATGCAAACATGTTTGACAGAAAACTGAATCAGTACAACCATTCTGAAAAGCATTTTAGAAGAATGTTTCAGGACTCTTCTAGGAATTTATCTTAAGAGAACACAGTTCATGTCATTTACCACGTTCTAATATACTATCTAACGGGCTTCTCTATGTTTACTGTAAGTCTCACCTACTGGAATATAAATACTGCAAGAACAAAGATGGAATCCCAAGCACATAGAAGAGTGCACAACACGCTGTAAGTGCTTCCTAACCCCACTGTAAGTGCTTCCTAACCCCACTGTAAGTGCTTCCTAAACCCCACTGTAAGCGTTTCCTAACCGCTTCCTAAATAAATAAAAGATGTAAGTACTTCCTAACCCCTTTCTAAATAAATAAAAGATGTCCACTAGGATTTACTTACCAAAGTGGTCACTATAGCATTACTTACAATGGCTAAACTGGATAAATCTAAATGTTCATCAACGGGATACTGGTTAACAAAATAATGATGCCACTGCCATAGGAGGCAAAATCACATAATCATTAGAAAGCAAGTCATTAAGGATGTTTAAGGCTATGAGAAAACATTCCCAATTTATTAATTGGGTAGAGAAGAATTAAAAAGTGTATATAGAGTAACATAGTAACCGTATTCAGAAATAGTAATAACACTAAAATGTTAACCATGATTACCTCTGGCTAGTGTGTTTATAGTCATTTTTATTTTCTTTTCTATGCTTTCCATATTTTCTATAACCAGGTAAATAAAATTTTGAACCATCCCCATATGCCACAAAACTCCCTGAGTATATTTTATCACACAGCATGGTGTAATAATAATGTTTACAATAATAACATACAGTTATTTTAAAAATATTACATTGTATTCAATATCCTCAATTTATAAAGAAGGAAAATCTCTGTGGTGGAAACATGGGTTTGATTAATCTCTATTTTTCCGTGTTCTTATTTCTAAATTCAGGAAGTGGGCAATGAACTCTTTAATGCTTTCCATCCTGGCAAGTTAAAATTTTAAAATGTTGAAGTTCTCTAAAGGTAACCTTCAATTACTTGTAAAAGTCATGTTTATGAAATACCTAGGTCTCCAATATTGCTGGTTAAATGAAACATTATTGCACATATTACAGAGGAAAAGGTATTTGTTTGACCTTTCGCAGTTTCAACACTGCAATTTAATATTGTATTTCACATACCATTCCAGCTGATCATATATTTTTAAAAATCGCAGTATTTTGAAAAGTCTATCCTGCATTAGTATCCATTTATTGCATCAATTAGCATCAATGCATTATACGCAATACCTGAAAGTTTTATAAATATTTTAATAGTCTTACAACAGGGTTCCAAAATACATTATGAGAGAAAGAGGCTGGGAGTTTGCATGGCTGGCTCAGGCTTGCATAAGGGAGCATGCCCACACTGACACATCCAATGAAAGAAACCGCAGTGCCAAAACCACAAGGCAGGCTCATAACGGTCTGACTGCATGCTGAACTACGTGTTTCTTCATCAATACACTCTGCTGACTAGCTTTTTGTTAAGTTCATGAGAAGTGACAACATTTAATCCTACCATTTCGAGGAAGAGAAGCCATGTCTACCCGTTGATCTTTTAGTTGTCATGAAGGAAATTGAACTTCAGAGCTTCCATCTTGCCTTCATCATGGCTCTTACCACACAGATGCACCTGTGTGAGATGTCTTGAGCCGCAGAGACCAAGACATGCTCAGAATTCAGCCAGAAGCTGACATTATAAACGGCAGTAGACTCAGTCGCTTGATACAGTTGTTAAATTCAGATTTTGACCATCTGGTTCTTTTATTTTACCAGTCTGCGTGTGCTTAAGATATTATTCTACTATTAAATTGAAGGAATACCAGGTTCACAATAAATAATCCAAATAAATTTGTCCATAATGTGTATATTTGGCTCTGTCTGCTGAGCATAGTACTTTGGCCCCGCTGATGCATCATCCAGGCATGTTTTTTGAATGTATTTTCTCCCCGTTTTCCCAGGCATCATGTTGTTCGCTAGCTCAAGGTGCATACCTTATTCTTTTGGTAAGATAATTACAAAGAACCAGTCCTAACTCCTATTTCTGCATGTATGATGACCTACATAGGCAGATTGAAAGTAAAGGTAGACATGGAATACCATGTTTTTAAATCTTTCAAAAATGCATTGATACTCTGGCAAGAAAGTAAGAAATATTAAGAATTATGAATCTAAATCAAGCCAGAAACCTGAAAAGGTAAGCAGAGCACTAAACCTATTTGTCATCATTGGGCATGTGGGAACTTGAGGAGTTTCAGCAACAACTTTTGTGGTCTGATGGGTGGGTGGTGACAAACAAAGACAAAAGCTCAGGCCAGCCCATTAGCCCACCCAGCTCTTCAAAAAGTGGGAAGCCTGAGGTCAGAGCAAAGATTAATCATTGTTTTCTTTCTTTTTTAAAAAAAGTTTAGAGTCAGGGTCACCCTGTTGCCCAGGCTGGAGTGCAGTGGTGCGATCACATCTTACTGCAGCCTCAAACTCCTGGGATCAAGCGATCCTACTGCCTCAGCCTCCTGAGTATCTGGGACTACGGGCACACACCACAACTGCCTATTTTTATGTATTTAGATAAGGGGTCTCAAACTCCTGGCCTCAAGCAATTCTTCGATCTTAGCCCCCTGAATAGCTGGCATTACAGGCATGAGCCACCAGGCCCAGCCATCCAAAAAAAAAGGTACCCACATTTGCTATTTAGAACATTCCAGAGGCCAAATGAAAGGAGACATCTCAACTCTGCTCCCAGGAAGCTAGGGCAGAGGCTTGACCAATCAGAGCTCTGGCCAGCTGTAGAACCTTGGCCAATCAGAGCACTGGCCAGCTCTAGGATCTTGGACAATCAGAGCTCTGGCCAGCTCTAGGATCTTGGCCAATCAGAGCTCTGGCCAGCTCTAGGATCTTGGCCAATCA
Source organism: Homo sapiens (assembly GCF_000001405.40). Taxonomy (NCBI): domain Eukaryota; kingdom Metazoa; phylum Chordata; class Mammalia; order Primates; family Hominidae; genus Homo; species Homo sapiens. Next base: position 106,994 of record NT_187543.1, read on the forward strand.
GTGCTCTGGCCAGCTGTAGGATCTTGGCCAATCAGAGCTCTGGCCAGCTCTAGGATCTTGGCCAATCAGTGCTCTGGCCAGCTCTAGGATCTTGGCCAATCAGAGCTCTGGCCAGCTCTAGGATCTTGGCCAATCAGAGCTCTCGCCAGCTCTAGGCTCTTTGCCAATCAGAGCTCTAGCCAGTTCTAGGATCTTGAGAAAGCAATGCCAAGCTCTGAGGAAAGTAGCGACTGTGTAAAGTCCATGCAGCAGTGGAGTTAAAGCACAGCAGGATCAGGCCAGCGATTGTCCACTAGCAGTGGTGCTAACCATGCGTTCTCAGCTGCCTAATTTCACTTAGTTTCCACACATTTTTTGAGTATGGATCTCCAGACGCGTGATTGATTCTTCCAAATATAGTTCTAATAAATATTGCTTCTTCTGAATTTCTTACTTAAATTAGCCAGACTTTATTTCTGTTGTTTGCAACTGAGCACCTCGCTGATACAGTCTTCCCCCAAACTCTGAAATCTTCCATAACCAAGCCAAAGAATTCCATCGGGGGAGACGTCACCCAGGGAAGCTTAAATCTAAATAAAAGATAATAATCTGGAAGAAAGCTTTCTCACAATTACAGCTGTTATGCACCAGGGACCTATCCAGGGTCCTGACCTTCCTTACAACTCATGGTCTCGAAAGCCTTGTGCTCCTCCACCTCCTGTCACGTATCTTCTTAAATCCTCATCCACACGACTGTGACTCATGACCACTGCAATAACTCATCTTAAACCTTCATGGTCCACTCATACCCTGAGTAATTCACACCAGGAAGAATTATCATGCTCATTTTCCAAATCATAAAGCCAAAATTACTTTAGTGGGTTGACAGTTGACAATGAAGAATGCATCCTAGGAGTTCACAATTAACTTTGTGAAACTGGTAATTTGTTTCACTTTTTTGTCATAGTAGTATCCTCATTCTTTTTTAAAATAAATATATATTAAGCACGTACAGTGATCCCAGCACATTGCTAGGTGCTCTAATTGGCCTGAAGAAGTGGTCCTTGCATCAGGCGGTTCTGTAGTAGAACAAAGGTCTTAATTTGAGATCTAATTGATCCAGTTAATATGTGTGAGTTCAGACAACTCCCTTAATGCTTTAAGGCTCAGCTTCCTCATCTATAAATTAGCGTGATACTCATCTTCCCTGTCTGCCTAAGGGTTGTTGTAAAGATCAAATAATGATTGTTGCCAGTAAAATCATAAAATGTTCTTCCAAGCACTTGGAAGGAAGAAACTTAAGATTACTCTTGAATAATTAGATTGTGAAATCAAGACATAAAGACTCAGAACCAAGCTAGGTAATGTCTCCTTAAGAAAACAGAATGAATTGCACCCAGATCAGCAAAAATGAACAATAATCTCATTAATCACATGAAAAGACCTAATAATTGGATGTGCCAATAGTAAAATGGATTGTCAAAAAGTAAAAATAAAAAAGTCAGAAATGCAAACATTGGAAGAATTCTAGAGAGCTTTAGCTGAATGGCTTCAATAGAATGGTGACCTTAGTAAGGCCATCTGCATTACAGAGATGAAAACTTAGTAATGTTTTTAGCCTTATCTTTGCAAAGCAATCACCTAGAAATTTTTAGACTTCTAAAAAGTTCTGTCTACAGTGTGATGTTCAAATGGAAATTTTGCCAATGTGAGCATTGTGGGTTCACACTGGAAAATCTGTAATTTAAAATTAGTCTTGTAAGCTCAGCTTCTTTGAGCCCAATACTGAGAATGATTTTTTAACAAAATCAGATTTCTGAGCCTACGAGATTGAGAGGAAGACTTAGGAGAGGAAGACTTAGGCAAGGAAGACTTAGGAAAAGAAGCCAACACTCTAAGTCTGACATTTCAGGGCCAACTAATTCCTTATGTGACAACTCTTTTCTTTTGCACACTGAACCTAAACTTGACTTTTTTTTCTTTTGAGACAGGGTCCCACTCTGTCATCCAGGCTGGAGGTCACTGGGGTGGGGCAATCACAGCTCACTGCAGCCTTGATCTCCCAGGCTCAAGTGATCATCCCATCTCAGCCTCCTGAGTAGCTGGGACAATAGCTGAGCTTGACTTTTAAGAGTAGTTAATATTTGGATAAAAGGAGAACATGATAAGTGCAAAGTTATGTCATTGGTAAGCAAATGGAGATAAGAATCTGCTCAATGCATACAAGATTCAAAGAACAGACAACTCTGGCTTTTGCAAAGGAGTCAAAATGATGGAACTAGAAAGTCAGGGTGAGACCAAGTTCTGGAACACCTTAAATAGCAAGAGAAGGTGTTTGAAGTTAATTCAGTAGGTAATAAAAGTGACTGAAAGTTTTAAGCAAAGAATATCGTAATGTAATGGGTCTGGAGAGGTTATTAATATGGCACTGATGGGCAGGAGATGAGAATAACTCAAGGACAAAAGGCCAGTGAAGACATTACTGGAAAAAATCCAGCTGCAAACTTACTTAGGATTTGACTGGGCGTGTTTGTTATTTCTGACCAGTGCCCCATTTTTCCTATGGGAAGAATGCTTTCCTTTATGTGGACACTGCTTCTTCTCACTCTCCAACTGCATCTCCAACCCCATCCCTAGCTTCTGCTCATTGGTCAAAGATTAGACTCATGATCTCCACCAATGCCATCAAAGTCCTCCAGTGAGATTTTTCCATTGATTCCTGTCTAAAAGTGAAGCCAGTCACCTTCTAGTCATACTTGAATGGTGCAGCTTAATTGTATGGAAAACTTATTCCAATACTATTGCAAAATGCTAGTCGCCTACTTTAGGAGCTGTTGTTGCTCCACTAGCTGCTTCGTTCTGCACATCATCCTACAATTTCCTTCTCTTCTCCTCATCCCAATCCAAGGACTCCCAATTATTTCCAATTCTCAACTAGCAGGTCACAACTTGCAACTTTTTATCCATGCTCATTTGAGACATTTTAGTTCAAAACATTGTTTTTCAATTTTATTGTTTTTCAGATGGAGTCTTGTTCTGTTGCCCAGCCTGGAGTGCAGTGGTGCGATCTCGACTCACTGCAGCCTCGGCTTCCCGGGTTCAAGTGATTCTCCTGCCTCAGCCTCCTGAGTAGCTGGGACTACAGCCGCCCACCACCACACCTAGCTAATTTTTGTATTTTTAGTAGAGATGGGGTTTCACCATGTTGGCCAGGCTGGTCTCGAACTCCTGAGCTCGTGATCCACCTGTCTCAGCCTCCCAAAGTGCTGGAATTACAAGCATGAGCCACCATGCCTGGCCTGTTTTTGAATTTTAATTAAGTCTGATACAAATTAATATTCTATTCTAAAATCTCATCAGTGGCAAAATAGTCTAATTACTATACCAAAGGAAAGTGATGAATTAGAATAAGCTTGTTATTAATGCCTTCAAATTCCTTCCTTTTAATTTTCATATTTCTTACTTATTCCCTGCTGCACCTGCAGTCACAGCCATCTTCCTTAATGTTTGTTTTATGTAATAATAGAAAGCTGTTTTCAGCTACTGGGGAGGCAGAGGCCAGGAGATCGCCTGAGCCCAGGAGTTTGAGACTGCAGTGAGCTACAATCACACCACTGCATTCCTGCCTGGGCGACAAAGCAAGATCCTGTCTCTAAAAAGAATTATAAATAAATAAATAAATGTGAGAAAGCTGTTTTAGCAAAACTTCTCTCTCCAACTACATTTGGAGAAGTACGTGCATAGAGGTATTCCCAGGACTTCAATATTCTCAATGCCAGCATTCTCCACAGGCAATTCTTGAATGCCTGACAAATTACAATGAGGAAGGAATCTATTCACCACCTAGATCAGTGGCTGCCAAATACTTGACTCTCAGGACCCCATTAGGCTCAAAAAGTATCCTGGACTTCAAAAAGTTTTGTTGATTTGATTTATATTTATACTTATTAATATTTATCATAGAAAAAACACAAACTAACAATCTAAAAATATTTAGTGATTTATTTTAAAATAGTAATAATAAACCTATTACATGTTAATTAAATAACATTTTTATTTAAAATCTATTTTTTTTTTTTTTTCAGATGGAGTTTTGCTCTTGTTGCCCAGGCTGGAGTGCAATGGCCCGATCTCAGCTCACCTCAACCTCCGCCTCCCGGGTTCAAGCGATTCTCCTGCCTTAGCCTCCCGAGTAGCTGGGATTACAGGCATCCGCCCAGCTAATTTTTGTATTTTTAGTAGTAGCTAGTCTCCAAATGTGATCTGGAGAATAAGACCACATTTGGAGACTGGTTAACCTACAATATGTGTAGACAACACAATCCCAAATTCTTAAGTGGATACAATTTTCTCACTTATTTCTATTCTTTTCTTTTGCTCTTAAAATGCCTAGTGCCCAGGGTCTTCATTCCCCCTTCCGGTTGTGCAAAACCCTTTCCCCACCGTGACACCAGTGTGGGACTGACCTGTCCGTAGTGCCACCCTTTCCCCGCCATGACACCAGAGTGGGGCCGACCTGTCCGTAGTGTCACTTGTTCTCAGTGTGCTAATTTCTGTAAGTCAAAATATATCTATTTTCTGATGGTCCCCTGAGGATCCAAATAAGTAACATGCTAGTTTAATGAACTTGGCTGTTAATTGGTGATAATCATTTAATGGCTCCTCCATTCTTCATACAATATTGTATTTAAACAAATCTTCAGTGTCTCCACCCAGACAAATTACTTATATGTAAATGTACCCAGTGAGAGGACTTTCGTGTCACTTTCCCCAGATGACATCTCTTCTCTCTGTGCAGAGTCCTGACCCTATGCACAAGTGTGCAATGAATATCGTCATGTATAATGCATATATAAGACATTTGAATAAATGCTTAGATTATTTTGGATTCCTTAGTAAATGCCAGTTTTGATCATGAAAAGTAGACAGAACCTAGACAAAAAAAAAAAAATACTGGCAGAAAAACCAAACAGCAACAATACTACAAACTCAGATGCACTGACATCTGAGTAACAATGATAGCCTCAGTTCCTTAAAACCTCAATATAGGCTTAACTTTTTTTTTTGAGACAGAGTTTTGCTTTGTTGTCCACGCTGGGATGCAGTGGCGCAAATTTGGCTCATTGCAACCTCTGCCTTCCAGGTTCAAGCAATTCTTGTGCCTCAGCCTCCTGAGTAGCTGGATTACAGGCACTCACCACCATGCCCAGCTGATTTTTTGTGTTTTAGTGGAGACGGGGTTTCATCATCTTGCCCAGGCTGGTCTCGAACTCCTGAGCTCAGGGAATCCACCTGTCTCGGCCTCCCAGAGTGTTAGGATTACAGGCATGAGCCACCATGCCCGGCCAACTTTTTTTAATAATCGAAAATTAATAGCATTTTTTGGCTGGGCACAGTGGCTCACACCTGTAATCCCAGCACTTTGGGAGGCCGAGGCAGGCAGATCACTTGAGCTCAGGAGTTCAAGACCAGCCTGGACAACATAGCCCCCATCTCAAAAAATAAAATTAATGGCATTTAAAAAATATTTACAATAGAAGAGCTTTTAAAACTATAAGCAGATTCTGGGCATTGGTTGTGAGCATCTTGTCCATCCAAAAAGAGCAGAAAATGGATCTGGGTTGACTTCACTGAGTCGCTTGAAACTCACAGAAAGATGACATGGAGCTACTGAGCCATGGTGTTAATGAGCATCACTTTCCACAGTTGCCTCTAGACAATGAGGCCAGATGCTCGTGGTGCAGGATGGGTAATTAATGCCTCCAGTTGTCCCGTGTTTCCTGAGGAAACAATGTTTAAGAACTGCCACAAACTGCGCCTCACAGATTGGAGTAGCTAAGGAAGAAAACCTCAGAAGATTTTACGTCACTTTTTTTTTTTGAAAAGACACAGACCAATCTATTTAGAAAAATATTTTTATTATATGGGAAGCAAAATATTTTTTTTTCTAAAGCACCAAATGTACAGCATCCACTCAAGGGGAACAAAAGGTCTCCCAAACTCTCCAGCCTCACACTGGGGCTCAGCTCTCCGGTAACTTGATCCATTTGTAACTCCAGGCTCTTTCCACGAGTTGTCCTCTAATTCTATAAAATCCAGTTGTACAGCCAGAGGAAAACTCAGAACAGGCACACAAATTTTTGTACTTTGGTTACTGAAAGGGATTTTGTCTTGTTAATCTTGAAGGATTGGCAGAGCAATTTTATCACATTTTCTGAAAAAAATCTATACAGATTTAAGGTCGCATTCTGGATTTAATTGAAGTAACCTTTTGTACAATCTAGCTTTAATGAAGTGCAATGAAGTTAAACTCCGTGGGGGCCATTAATCTGAAACACTCCATTTAAGAACTACAAGGGGAGTTTTTAATAAACAGTGTGAACTAATGCCCATGTGGAAAGGTAATTGAGAGGGAGCTGGTGTCTGGGCCAGATTGTTATTAAACCCTTATCACAGGTAAAGCTGAAACCCCAATGGCAAGCTGCTCTGTGATTTATCGTGCCCTTCTCATCCTAACTTTAAAGAAAAGGCTACGTTTAATAATGAAAAAATCCTGTGACTAAGCTATAAAATAACTGAGCAATTACTTAGAATAATTTATACAGTGCAATACATTGACCTTGCTTTAAGCATAAAATCTACAAAATAACTTTGGCCATAAAACTGTGAACTACTAAAAGTACTAAAGGTTTTAACCATTTTTATTGGGTGGTGCCTGGGGGGACCATAAATACGTGTTACACTCTAATCACAGGGCTTAAGAAAATTCATAATTTTTTATCTTAAAATGGCTTTTTGAGAAAAGTTTTCTCAATTTGGCCAATTGCAAATCACGAAGTCTAATGCCGTTACTTTAAAAGGATTATATATAACGTCCACAATATTATTTCCCCATGTGTGAGTTCTGCCTCACTCTCTCTTTTGACTCCCAGCCATGGCTGATGAAGGAAAAATGGCAATAACTTTTCTGTATTACCTATTTAAATATTTACTCTTTTGAAAAAAGAAGGCAGTGGGATCTGTTGCAACAGAAAGGATTGATACTATCTCCCAGCCCACTGAGACAAGGATGCGTCTATTTCTGGGTAAGTAAATACATTCCTCCCCTCAGCAACGCACAGTCAATGTTTCCACTTTCCACAGTGGCTTTCAACAGCAAAGTTCAGCCTTTACTCCAAACTGGCATCAGAGCAGGACATAACCAAGCATAACATATGACTCTCATTGCCTTCAATTTTTCAATCACTGCAGCTGAGCAAACACGTTTTCCCTGAAGGCTTTGAATCATGGAATTATCCCCACAGATCGTCTTCCAGTTGACTTTAATTCCACTAAATCCAGTCGATTTCTGCAAGATTGGAATATCAGCACATTGACACCCTGTGGAAACAAATTTTCAAGGCAGCAACTTTTGACACAAAACTATTTATTCCTAAGGTTTATCTTGCTTCACCCCTGATAAAATGAGCCAGTTTAGCTCCCAAAGGAAAACAAAGCCACAGGATGTTGTCCCTGGGTTGGCTAAACAGAGATACTTGCGGGAAACCTCACAGACAAAAATACTGCCTGAATATACCATCTTTGTTACTCGTAGAGCTACAGGCATCAGAAAGTTACTGCATGGAAGCAAAAAGGTTTTATGGTATAATGCAGTAATCCATGATTAAATCTCTTAAATATATCATCTGAAGGTTCATTAAAAGACTGGGGCACAGGATGGGACATAGGAGATGATCTGGGAGTTCCAGTCCCGGTGATGCCCTTCAGAAAATGAGCCCCAGGGACCTCAGGGAGGTGTGGCCTCCATTCAGGTTATCTGAGCTAGGGACTGGCTAGAGTTGCATGCGGTCACAGAAATGGAGGATAGTGTACTGCAAAAAGGAAAAGACAGCACCATTGTTCAGAACATGGCCCTGTTGCTGGGTCTCCAGAAGGCAAAATGAGCTTCAGAGGAACAACACAGCCATGAATAAAAGCCTGATTTTTCACCAGCCCACAGACCAGCCAATCTCCAGCTGGAGCCCAATTCATACAGGAGAAAGCAGCCTTTCTGGTGAGGGACCATGTAGCTGTCTTCTTCTAGGAATGGGGAATTGCCTTAGGAAAGAGACTAAAATTTCAACATTTAGCTCTACACACCCTCACAGAACTCCACTAACACACCATAAAAGTAATTTTTTTAGGTCCTAGACCTGTAAGGATATGGAGAAAGATCAAAGAAACCATAATTAGAAGGCAGAAAGGCAGGTGGTAACTGACTTGGTGGACCAAAGAAAGATGACTCCTCACTCAACCAGCAGTAAGGAAGCCAGTGGCCAGTTGGATTTGAGCCATGAGATTCCCAGAGGTTCAGCAGGGAACCCTGAGGTGCTGGAAGTAGAATGAAGGTGAAGGACGGCTTGGTAGCCACTTTAAAAACAGATAGACTTCCAGATCCACACTCTAGCAAGAAAATGGAAGGCTAGTCATTTGAGAAGATAAATGTAAATGTTCAAGATGTCGTCAGAGATGGTTATGTTGAAAAGGGAAGATGAAGTGAAACTGGATCCTGGATGCTGAGGCCCTCCTTCGACCCCAGCAATCTTCTTCCCTTTAGTTCCCAGATCATTGCTAGACGTTCACCCTCTGCAGAAGATTGTAAGGTTTTCTCTGAGGACTCTGTTCCGCCCAAGAGAAGAGACAAAAGTCACTAACATCAAGGATTCCCCAGTACAACCAGTATAACCAGTATAACCATCAAGGATTCCCCAGTACAATGGCTCAACCAGATCATCCTACATCAGAGCCCATATAGCAACCCACAAATGTGCTCAGGGCTTCCAATCAGCTTCTTCATCTTCTACTTTTAAATACGACCAGAGATACAAGGAAATCTAACCATCTGAAAAAAACATCACTGACCTGAAGGAAAGAAAAAATAAACACAAAAGCATGCTAAACACATTTTGGAGGATACTATAGAAAAACTATTTAGAGAGAATACAATGTTTCCCTCAAAAAGATTATTACTATGCTCAGAAAAGTAAGAGGAAATAGTGCAATCATGAAACAAGAACAAGATGTTATTAAAAATGAACATTGAGAGGACTGAAGCAAGCTCTTGGAAATGTAAAATACGATAGTAAAATGTTGCCTCCCCACAAGAAACTATAGAAGTTTAGAAAAAAGAACTGAATAAACCTCACAGGAAATAGGGCAAAATTTCTAAATTATATAAAATAAAGAAGAAAAGGCCATCAGTGCAGGATGATCATTGTCTGGTAGGAGTTCCAAAATGAGCAAAATGAGAAAATTCCCGCAAGACCAATGTGGGTTGATTGCTACCTTCAAATATATTTTTGTCTGCAGATCCCAGTAACTGCTTCCTTCCCATGACCCCAAACCTAGGTATGGAAAAAGACTTTTGCTCGTACTGGCCCCAAGTTTCTTCAGCCTTCCACATCTTTGTAAACCATCCCTTTATTAAATGCTTCTTGAAGTTTCTTACTAGAGCTTGCCCTCTGAATCCTGACAGATAGAGTCCCATGCATTCTGTACCAGCAAGCTCCTGGAGGAGGTGCATCCCCAAAACAAGGAGGTATTCGAAATCAGAGGAAGGCTCAAGCAAGGAAACAGAGGAGCAAAGTGAGAAGGGAATCCCTACAGTGATGGTGGAGGGAAAGTCCAGGAACATACAGCTGAGCGTGGGGCCTGAAAGCAAGAACCCTGCATTGAATCAGGCCCAAAGTTTCTGGAAAAGGTTTACTCAAGAAGACAGAAGTCTCAGAACACCTAATGTCTGGGAAATTTGAGAAAGGAGATTTGGACAACTAGCAGGGAGTTTGGAGTTAAATTAGTAATCAAAACATACAGACATAAACAATGAAAAAAACAGCTATTAGTCCAGAAAAGACAAAAAGTCATATAGGAAAGGAAAAGCAATCATAATTTGCCACAGGCTCAGCACTGAGTGACAGTTACAAAAGTCAAAATAAATGAAAACAATGAATATTGATCTAACCAAAAGTGTAACCAATGGGGAGGATGCTTGTGGCAGAGGGAGGAGGAAAGAAAGGAAAGCCCTCGCTTCCATAAATAATGCCTGAAATTGAAAATTTCTTGAAAAGTAGCAATAAAAGCACGCTATTTTAAAATATAGAGGCAAACACCAAAAAAAAGAAAAAAAAGGCAGTAAAGTTTAAAGCTATTATATTTCCTCTGGAAAAGATGTAATGGAAGAGGAGGATAGCAGATTACTATTCTGCACAACAGACCCTATGGAATTATTTAATTCTTCACACTATACATATGCAACTTTAAAAAAAAAAAGAATTAAAACTAAATGGAGGTCAGAAGAAAAAGGGTAAGGAAGAGAAGAAAGGGAGAGAAGGAGGAAGAAGATAGGGAGGGAGACTTAGTTGAAAAAAAATTAAACTGGCTCAAATAAAAATGGTAGGGCACAGACAGCAGAATGTGGAGCCACCTCAGCTTCCAGAGCCCGCCTCGCTGCAGCTTCCAGAGCCCGCCTCCCTGCAGCTTCCAGAGTCCGCCTCACTGCTCCCTGGCCCTCTCTCCTGCTGGCTGGCCACATGCACCAAAACTTGCTGTTCAACGGGATATGCTCATAGCTATGGTTTCCAGCAGTCTCTCCTGCCCTCAGCTAAGCCTGGTCCTGGCAACTCCCCACCACACCCCACTGTGCCCGACTGCAATTCTTGGGCACTAAATCCTCCCTGTCTCCTGAAAACACTCATCTGTTCTCCAACAAGGAGCACACAGCACCTGGAACTTTGTGGAGATTCTCCCTGAATTTCATACCACAGTTCTCCACCTTCAACCTTCCCTCCTCTAGGACCCGTGGTTGGTTTTTTAACACTTATGGGGGTGTCTGTTTTATGCAAGTTACTTCCACTGAGCTTAGATTTTGCATATTCAGAAATAGACGTTTAAAAATGAAAATAAACAAAAATAACTTCTAAAAAATATGTGCTAATTGCTTAGCTTGTGCAATTGAACTACTGAACTTACCACTGACATGCACTGTGGAGAAAGAACCATCCTCTCGGCATTGAGCATCAGCTTATCCAAGCCAGCAACGAACCCACACAGCTGTGCCCACCTTGTTCTGTTATACAAGATCCCCACAATGGGAGTTACCTTTCACATTTCATCCAGTATTTTCATCCTCAGCTGGATTTGCAATCATAGATATCAGCTCATTTGACCTTCTGGCAGAATCTCTTTTCTACCTCTCAAGATCTAAGTTGACATTGAATCAAATATCTTATTAACATATGCAGACAAAACTATGGGCCCAACTGAAATAATTTCTCATTTGCCATGCTATAAGTTCACTTGTGCACCTAACAGAGAGAGTCTACATTAGACAGGATGCCAGGTGTGGTATCTGCAGAACAATTGGACCTTAATCTCCCCATTGTCAGACTGACTGATTGCATCATATCCAGGTCCCATCACATAGTTACTGGGCTCACCAATACCACTATTGATAGTCAAATCTCCCTCCTGTAGTCAACCTGAGAAAAATCTATTAAGTGAGACACAGGAAAATCCCTAGACACACCTTACAAGGACTAAGAGTCCTCATAGCATGAGCTGATAAATGAGGAAGCCTAGGAAAGTTCTAGCAAGTGGGGAATCCAATGAGACTGTACAGCTAAGGAGTGTGACCTACCTGCCTTGGAAAATCAGAAAAGATTGCCTCAGAAAAGTCCTTTAGCTTTCCATAGACTTAAATATCAAGGTTATCAAGGTTATGTTGTAAAAAGCAGAAATTACTGCCTACCCTGCAGAAGGGAGTGTAAAGATTGGGTGCTAATGACACTGAAAGGAGGAGTGACCTCTGGGCTGAGTCTCCAGGAAGGACCCCCAGCAACCCTGCAGAGCCATCCAGAGGGATGGCCCAGTCAGGAAGGCAGGAATCCAGAGACAACTGCCTTCTATACCCACCCAAGCTGGTGGCCAGACACTGCACAGGGCTACAGAAAGACCCTCCTTCCCCACCGCAGAGCCTGCCAGCAGGAGGACACCTCCTTCTCTGTTCTGACTTGCAGTCCGTACCTAAGAGAATCTGATTGGTGAGGCCAATTTGCATCCAGAAACTCAGGCAGAAGGGTATCTGGGAAACGTAGTTTTCGGCTCTGCAGCCGCTACAGTCCAGGAAGATGCAACCAAAGGAGGAAACAGGTGCTCAGCCTTCATCTACCACAGATTAGGTAATTAATCTAATGCACCTGATTTACCACACAGGCCTCAAAGCACGGCTTTCCCAACAGCCTCTACCTGTAGTCATATTTCGGGAAGACTTCCTCACCTCTGTCAGCTGAGACATGGAACTGCACCCACAGCTGTTGGTGCAATAAATACAATAGCTGAAACTACTGTGTGTTTGCTTTTACACTACTGTGTGCCCACTTTAAAGTTTAAGAAGCTGAGGAACAGAGAGGTAAAATAGCATGCCCAAGGGCACAGTCACAAGTGGTTGGAGAAAACTGGCTCCGTAATTTCTGATCTTACTCTCTAAACTATATAAACGAAAACCATATAAAAATTTACAGTCCAGACTATCTAGCCTGAGAGATGTAGGAGGCAGGCCTCGGGCTTTTACCAATGGCCCTGTGCCATCTAACTTCAATGATCTGATATCTCACTGAGCCCATATCTTAATCTCCTGCCTGGGGGGACCTAGATGGAAAGAGGAAAAGGGCTTGCTGCCACTGTCCTCTCTCCTTGTTCCCAGAAAGCATTAGACCGCAGAAGGTGGAATGCTAAAGAGAGAGGCAACTGCAGGATCAGCTCCCGAGGAGCCGCAGTTTCACAAGCGGTGTGGTCATCCCCACAGACAATGAATAATGCACCATAAATAAAGACTTGGACACTCCCACAAGATCTAGAGTTGTGCCTTTTTCTATGCCTGGCCCTTTCAAAAGTCCCATCTCAGAAATAGAGGGGTGGAGGAAGACGTGAGCTCCCCACAGTAACAGGGCAGCAGGAGCTCCTGTTCCCACAAGGGAGCCTCAGACCTCCACACCCAGAGCTTGACTCCAAGCTCCACCAGGCTCAACCTCTACCCATTGCTCCGCAAAAACTCTGGTCCCATAGACCTCCGTCCAGAAATCCTGCCTATCCAGACTCATGCTGACTAGATCCTGCCTTTGCCCGACCCCACCCTGACACCAGTGTATTTAATTCAATCTGTGTTCACACTGTTGCCCTTCCAAACCTGCCACAGCCCCTCAAGAACAGGATGTGGGAACGTACAACAGAATTTCTCTCCCCTCTCAATTCTCAGTGTTCAATTCTTGCAGCTTCTATAACTGCAAAGATAGGCGTGCAGACCCTTTAGTGAGCAAAGAAATACAGTTCCCAAGAAGAAATTGATCTTAAAGTGTTTGAGTTAGTTTTCCTCAACAAATGTAATGTTAAAATTTCAGAAAAAACTTTAAGACTTTTCAAAGGCTCATTGGACATCAAATAGTTCTCACATAACTGGCTACAGTGTAAATTAATCAAAATTACATACCTTTAATGTCCCTTAAAATGCAGTATTTCATATTTTTTAGGGGTCCATTGAACCTTCAGAATAAATCTGGGGAGGGAGAACTAAGAAAGGACAAATTAAGGGGATAGAGATTTGGGGAAGAGTGAAGACGGCAATTATGGGGAGAACATAATACAGGGAGAGAACGGAAGAACTTGAATAGTGAGAAGAGGGAATGGAAGCAGAGAGTAAGGATGTGTAAGGAGAGTAAGGAGAGTAAGGCAGGAGGCAGTGAGAAAGGAATGGACAACAAAAGACACTTGCTCACCACCGATCCCCAACACACACACACTCACACACTCCCACACTCACACACTCACACACACTCACACACTCACACGCACTCACACACTCCCACAGACTCACACACTCACACTCTCACACACTCCACACACACACACCCACACACGCTCACGCATACACTCACACACTCACATGCACACTTGCTTGCACACACTTACACGCACACACAATTACACACACTTGCAAACACACACATGCTCGCACGTGCACACACACACACGCACAATCTCACTTTGCCTGTTTCCAAACTTAACGTTTTCCAGCCAGTGGGTCCTCACCGGTTAAGTTAATGTGGAAAAGACTATTCTGTCATCCAGAGAACCCACAGCTCAGTGCCTGTTCTGAGGACACAGGCATGTGACTTTCAGCAAGTTGCTGACAATTTCATCATCTCATCTCTATGTAATCAGGGTGATAGGTTTCCAGACATGAGAGTACTGGGACTCCATGAACAAAGAGAAGAAGACACTGAGGCAGAAAATAAGAACCAAAGTACAAGAAGTGAAGATTAAAGTTCATCTCGCTCATTCAGAATCCTGGCCTCGAGAGAACTGCAGATGGAGTCCAAGGGGCTCCACCACTAGAGTAAGAGTTAACGTTTCTGTTTCCATTAGGAACGGCAGGCTGATGCCCGGGCAGATCATTCTGAGGAGAACACTCGCTACTCTCCTCCAAAAGAAGCCGCCCAAAAAAAGGGGGAGGCAGGAGGCTGACGAGGTCCTGGGTGTCTTCCTCTCCCCCAAGTCTTCTGAACTGCTTTCACCCGTGCCCAGCGGCCTCTTCTTCTGGTCTCCCCTCCAGGTCCTAACTGTTGCTAGCAATCCCCTGCTATGATGGTGAACTCAAAAAACAAAACAAAACAAAACAAAAACAATGTCTGAGACGGGTGTGAATCCATTTAGAGGCTTACTTTGCCAAGGTTGAGGACGTGCCTGGGGAAAAGAGACACAAGTCACAACTGGTCTGTGGCCAGCACTTTTTTTCAAAGAGGATTTTGAGGGCTTCAGTATTTAAAGGGATAAAGTAGGCAGGCGGCAAAGAAGGGAAAAAAAGAGAGGGAAGGTATAGTCACATTTTTTGAGGCTTCGATTAGCAGTCAGTGAACCTACATGTCACACGTGACAAGGAGGAGGTAGAGGAACAATCGATTATGTATTCACCTCGTGCTGAGTAAATCTGCACTTTATGTGAGATAAAATAAACACGGAGTAGAGGAAGAAGACAAATATGCATTCATCTCAGGTGGGCGGAGGGACTGTGCCTCGTCTCCTCTTGTCCAGTACCATGAAGATAAGCTGTTAGTTTACTTTGTCAAGGTGAGGGAGGCCCCCTGGGGAGACACGTGGCCTTCTTTCTCTAGCTGTCTGTTTAGGAACAAAAGGAAAGGCGGGGTTTTTTTTTACATGACTCAGTTTCCAAGTTCAACTTTTCCCTTCAGCATAGTGAGTTTAGGGTCCTGAGATTTTCTTTTCTTTTCACAATAGAGGTCATCATAGGTGATCCTCGGTGATGATGAGGATGATACAATGATGGCGATGACAACCCAAAACTGTAATAACTAGGAGAGAAAAGAGAAAAGGGGACAGAAAAGAGAAGGGAGAAAAGAAGGAAGAATAAGGAGGAGCAGGAAAGAAGATGCTACGCCCCACTAGCAGTGCTGGCTGCTTCGTTTCTTCTTCTTTCCCAAATATTTGTGTCATGCCTGCCTTCCACTTAGCTTCTTGACAGTGGGGTCAAGGCCAACATGACGCGCCCCCCCACCCAGGGAGTTTACAGAGTAGGAAGGATTCCAACACCTCCTGATGCACCGTGGCAGGTGCCGTGATAAAAACGCAGTTACACAGATACACCCGGCCAGGGATGGTGGTCAGGGACCTCACCACATTTGTGTGCTACAACTATGAGTGGATCAGAGGGGAATGAGGTTGTGGAGGCAGGATGACCATGAACAGATTATCATAAGAAACAAGGCGAGAATGTTGGTGGCCCGGGCTGGGGCAGAAAAGGTGAGGAGTTGGTGCTGTACTGATGGAATTTCGTGGTTAAAGAGGTGTGGAGGGCACAGCGGAGGAGGAAGTCAAGGACAAACTCCAAGTGTGTGGATTGGCCTGCCGGGTGGATGGTGATTTCATTTACTAACTTTCAGGGCACACAAGAAATGGTACGTGCTGAGGATGAGTTCAACTTTGGACAGATGAGTTTTAAATACATAGGTGTCAACTGATTGTAAACAACCAACGGGTAAGTGAGCATATAAGGCTGCTGTTGTGAATGGAAAGAGATGCTATCAAGGAAACAGGATTTCTGTGCAGCCTGGAGGGCTCAGGTGCAGTCGGAGATCATAATAGTGGCTCCAGTCTTCACAATGGCCTACATTGTCTCTTCTGATTCTTTTTCAATGCTGGGTGGTATGTATCTTTATCCTCGTTATTAAGAGGAGAAAAGGCTCAGAAAGCTTAAGTAGTGTGCTTCAATTCTCACAGCTTGTCTAGACCGGACTCAAATGCAGATCCGTCACAGCCTAAAGCTGAGGTTCCAGCCACCACACCGAGCTGTCTTCAGTCAAGAGTTAACTCATCTCTCCCCAGAGCCATTGTCCTGAAGATGCGAATATAATGATGATGAAATGTGTCCCTCTCCTTCAAGAAAATCAGAGTCTAGTGGACAGGGAAGGACATATAAGTAGCTACTAACTTGTGATGTGCTGAAAATAAAATAGCGTCATTATAAATAAACAAAATCCTCAACACTACAGCGGAGTGGAGTCCAGGGAGCAGAGAGAAAACTGAGCTGGGATGGATTATTTGAATTGAACTTAAAGAATGAACGGGCCTCGCATATAACCTGGATGATAATTATTTTTTTCACATTTACAAATGAGGTGAAAAGGCTAAACCAAAAACCCCTGCCAACCAACACATGTCTTTCCATAAAGTCCCCAACTGCTGGCTTCAAGAGCAGCCCCACTGGAAGCTTATTTCGGGACGTAACCCACGGTCACTGGTGCTTTGCTTCTTTGGGGCAACACCACGTGGATGGTCACAAGCCAGCTGACTCGGTGAAGTCACACCATCTGAGGCTTGCTGTGCACAACCTTCCCGGGTGAAGGTGCCTTCTGCAAACCTAGTGAGACCATTTGTACATCGAAGGGATGCTCCCCTGAACATTCACCATCATCCTGTTGGAATAACCATCTCTTGCTTCAAACTGAGGTTCTCCCATATTCCATATAGGTCTATTCATTACTTGTTAATGGTTGTCATTTATTACCCCCTTGTTTATTACTGAAATTATGATTCATTAAGTAATAAAAATCTGCTTGGAACATGCAAAAGGAATAAGCTCCTCATTGTTTCAAAGCGTCTTTGCGGATTTTATTGTGCTCTTTTAGGAATAATTTTTTTCTCTTCTATTGAAAAAGAACCATCTCTATGAAACCATGTGGACCAATAAATTATTCATGTATATCCATCATTTTAGGTTAAAAAATAGCTGATTTAGAAGCATTTGTATTGTCAAATTCTATTGCTTTGCAGTTCTGTTCAGTTTCCGTCACCCCCGGCAACTCACACTGCATCACAGCCAAGCTCATCACCTGGAACACTGCCTTTGTGCCGTGCTCCTCCTCACACGGCTCCCTGTTGCTGCCACATCTCATCCAGGCTCCTCCCTGATTACCTTGATGGCAACACCCATCAGCTGCCACACACTCACTTCTGCTACTCTCCACACCAACTCCCTTCTCCAGTCAGCAGGATTTCTTACCAAGCCACATCTCCTCTCCACCCTACACCTACAGGCAAATGCCAGGCTCATCTCCAGCACTTGGCCTCTGCTCCTTTACTCAGCCAGTATTTACTGCCTTGCGACTATTGCCCAGGCCCGGTGAAGGCTGTTCACATATGTAAGACAGGCTCCCTGCTTCTCAATAGCTTATTCCTCTAACAGGCAAGACAGGATACCCAGGTAAATAATTTCCAGAGTATGACAGGTGTTCCAACAGGCATAGGCAAGCTCTACTTCAGCGTCCAAGGAGAACTCTAGCCTGAGTAATACGCCATCTTACCCCTTCTTAGGACTTTCACGTGGGCTGGCATCATCTCCCCATTACATTGCACAATTCAAGGGCAAGGACTCTGTCTCCCAGTTTCTTTGTTTACCTCGCTATACCTAGCATGCTAGGAAATGATTAGACATGTATATTGTATCTAAACTTGTAGTATAATACACCCATTTTATAAAGATTTGAGTTCAGTTTTCTCTCTGTCTTCTTTTTCTGGAGACAGGGTCTCACTCTGTTGCCCAAGATACAGAGCAGTCCTGCAACCATGACTCACTGCAGCCTCGTCCTCCTGTGCTCAAGCCATCCTCCTGCCTCAGCCTCCCCTGTAGGTGAGACTCCAGGCATGTGCCACCATGCCTGGAAAATTTGTAAAGTTTTTTCTAGAGAGGCTTTCTCACTGTTTCCCAGGCTGGTCTCGAATATCTTGCCTCAAGTGATTCTTCCACCTCTGCCTCCCAAAATGTTGGGATTACAGACATGAGTCACCATACCCACATAATTTCTTAAAGAGTAGTACAAATAATAAATAGAATAAAATACATTTTTTAATAAAAATTTCAGTTTTTAATGGGAAAATATGGATTATATGTATCTAATAAAAATAATCTTCAGTTGATACGGTCCTAATTTTTAAAACATGACTATGTGCTTCATTCATTCATTCATTCATGCTCTCAACAATCGTATACTGAAGACTCACTATGATCTAAGTGCTGGCACTTTCTCTACAAGGACAACAAAATGGCCAACTCTGAGGAGCTTCTGTTCTGAGAACTCTCCAAGAGGAACACAATTCTGAACCTTGACCTCCAAGGGCTTTCTGATGTCCCAGAGCCACTGCATCACTAAGTTGGGGCCACCATGCACAGCAGGTTATTCCAAGCATTTCCAAGCTATGGATATATATTTTGTCCATTGTATTTTTTTCTCCCTTTACTTAAAAAAAAATTTGATGTGGTCTGCAATGTGACTGCCCACTGGTCAGCTCCAGCACGGACCACAAACAGCAGGGGGCTTAGAGCACAAACTAAATGGGGTCCACCACACCCTGCTTTCATCTCCCAATATTTTTCATGACTTTTCCCAAAGAGATATAAGCATTAGTGGTTCTGAACTACTATGCCCATAGCATTTTATTACAGTTTGCCCATATAAAGAGTTTTTGTGGCCCGTATAAAGCAGCAACCTCTTTGATAAGTGACATACAGCATTTCCATCCACCCAGATCCAGGGCTGACCTAGAACACAAAGAGAATTCACCAAAGGCTTTCACCAAAATTCTCTATTTTTCTTTCTGCCTTTCGAGAACTAATTTCTCTTAAAAGAAAGAAAATTATCCGTGGTTTCCACTTAAGCCAAACGGCCAGACAGCTCCCAGGAAAAATCTAGAGAGAGGAGGATGATTGGAGAGGCGGAAAGAGAGGACATATACCTCCTTCCTTCTTATCAAGTCCCAATACTCTGCTGCTCAAGGGAATATGGAATCTCAGAAGTACTTGATATGAAAATGACAAAATTCATTTATTGACAGTTGGGTAAAATTGTATCCTAACACAATCACAGAGAGTGCTGTCGTTACTTGAACAAAATAAAGCAACACAAAAACATTTGGCCAATGAGGTTCACAGGACGCAAGAGACTACAAGCTGGTGAGTGACAGGCATACGTTCAAGCCTTGCACTGTCACGGTATGGGGTCAGATCTTCAGAGAAGTTTTGACAAAGGATTTCACTGCCCTCACAATACATTTTATGCCTCTCCTAAGAAACGCTTAATGTCTGCAATTATGTGTCAGCCACCCAAGAGCCTCAGAACGCTATGCAACCGCAGCATGCAAAAGCAAACGTGTCAGAAAGGAAAACTGGGACGCTACTGCCCTCTGCTGGACACACAGGCGAAGGGCGATTCCTGCACCGTCTTTACCGCACCTGGGAGGAGTTCTGGGCATAGCTGCGTGCAGCTGGCGACACTTTACTCAATACAAGAGGTCTTGAGTGCGCAAGGCCTCATCTGGGTCATGGACCCTGCATGACTCTTGTGACTGCTTAGATAAACTACATCTCACCAAGGATGACTCAAAGCAAGGAGTGATATTGAAATATTTTAATTGTTCTTTTTCAGTAGCTGTTATATATTGAAGAAAACGCTTTTGTCAATGTGAAAAATGCCTATTAACGTTTATTCATAACAGTAAACAATTACCACTGCGGTATGTCAAAAGAGATGGGGATGCCAGTATGAACAGGAAAGAGCTGTCCTATCTCACAGGTCAGCGACGTTACACAGTCCAGTGAGGACACGTATGTATGTCTCTTGTGTGTAGATTTGTTTTGTTTTTGAAACCAATACCTTCTTCAAATGTTGCCTTGAAGTACACATTGCAATGGGGTTGACTTAGTTTGAAAATCACTTTGTATTTGGCAAATGCCCAGTCAGGGACCGCAGCCTAGACACACAGAATGCAGCCATGTGAAGGCCATCCAAGTTCAAACACAAACGAAAAAATTAGTGTGTCCAGTTTCCAGTCGTAATAACTTTACCTTACAGACAAGCCGCTGATTCTCGGGAAGTCTGCTTCCCTCCAAATCCAGCTCATTTGGAAGGGAGGAAAACAACATTTAATGAGCCCCTCTCTGTCCTACGCGTCAGCCCATGCAGCCTCACAACTGCACCTTGGGGTACCCAGGATTACGGACATTTTACAGGTGAGATCACGCTCAGAACGCACGTGCAGAAGAGGCAACTGGCAGTCACACATGGCCCACCATGTCTTAGACTTGGAGACATAATCTCACCTGCACATCAGACTCTCTCGACAAGACCCTTCTAAGCTAGGTGGAAAGAGGTAAGTCAAGGAGAGAACACCCAGAGTCTTAGCCCTGATGCTGCACTGACATATCCACGGTCGGGGACACATCCTAATGCTTCCATGCCTCAGCAGCTACATCTGTACAAGGGGACACTCAGTCTCAAACTTGCCTCACTTCATCGTCAGTCAAATGACTCTTTTTTACCCTTGGGTTCTTGGTACTGAGAAGTATTTAAATTAGTCTTTTTTTAAAGTGGTTGCGTGAGCCAGGTGCAGTGGCTCACACCTGTAATCCCAGCACTTTGGGAGGCTGAGGCAGGTGAATCACCTGACGTCAGGAGTTCAAGACCAGGCTGGCCAACATGGTGAAACCCCATCTCTACTAAAAATACAAGTTAGCCAGGTGTGGTGGCAGGCCCCTCTAATCCCAGCTACTTGGGAGGCTGAGGCAGGAGAATCACTAAAACCCGGGAGGCGGAGGCTGCAGTGAGCTGAGATTGAGTCACTGCACTCCAGCCTGGGTGACTGAGAGAGACTCCGTCTCCAAAAATAATTATAATAAAGCAGTTGTGTAGACCAGAGTGAAGAGCTCTGACTCTAGAAGTCCACAAGGCTGGGTGCAAATCCAGGCACTGCCACTCACCAGCTCCACAACCTGTGAAACTCCAAGCCCAAGTTCCCTGCCATCACCCACAAGAGTAACCGGCCTCCTGCAGTGTTGTTCTACGAATCCCAGTAGCCTGCCCCATGGCCAATGCTCAACAAATGCTCATTCATTTCTCTCCCCAGTTACCTTCAAATGTGATGAGTTCTTTATGTAACTTGAGAATTTAAATCCATCTGGGGAAAGAAACTAGATGATTCTCAGGGCCCTTCCAGTCCTGTACTTCTTAAAGTATTACTATGCAAAGTTTTTCTAAGTACTTCTGTAATCCTCGCATGATTACAGAAGCCAGAAGCAGCTTAAAAGGTACCCAGTTCTGTTCTCTTACTTTAGAAATAAATTTTGACCTAATGGGCTCACCCAAGAAGAAACCAAGACTAGAATGTAGCCCAGTGGGCTCCAAAAGACATGATAATGCTGCTTTAACCTACCCCTAACCAGAATGTTCTAGAGCACACACGGCTGCACCCTCTGAGCTATGTGGGGTTGGTAGGGTGAGCCTCACCTCAAATCCCAAAAGGCAGGATGGAAAGCAGGTAGCGCGCCTGATTAGAGAGCTCCTGCAAACCAGCATCATGAGAGGGACTTTTTAATAATCTGGGTAGAAATAAGCCTATAGTCTTAAACACATTTTTAAAAATATGCAGGATTTATCTTGTGTTGGGAATGTGAATAGATTAGCAAAAGCTTCAGCTGAGCACAGTAATGTAAAACCAGCCAACTAAATAAAACCAGAAGGTCTGAAGGAAAGGGAATTACCTGGGCAGAGCTGGGAATTGGAAGATGTTTAACCACAGACATGCCCCACCCCTTGGCTTCCTGTGCTCTGCAACCCCCACCTTTGGGGGACATTTGAGGCAGTGCTCATCCAGTCATAGCGTAGGCCTTTTGCCTCATTTCATTCCTTCCTGAATTCATTATGGTGTTAAACAGGCCTGCCTGTGACCTCGAAAGCGGTGTGACCACAGCTTGGTCCTTGCCCACATCCAGCATCCTCAGCATCCCGTCTCCTGGAATATATCACAAAGATACTTCACTCTCAACTTAGTTTGTCTTTCAGAAATGAATACAAATAGCACCTTGTTTGATGTAATTAGACTGGGCCGGAGCTTGGGTCTGTCTCCCAGGTTTAACAACAGATGACCTGTTATGTGTCACTTCTGTGGCCCTTCCCAGCAGGGACCCCCACCCACCAGGTCTAATTTCACAGGCTTCCTAATTACTTCTTTGTGGTGTGTTTGTTTCCTTGGGTGATTAGTTTTGCAGAATCCCTGCCTGAAGAATGATTGTGGATGTGCTAGCACTGATGTATTCACTTGCCAATGCTCCCACAGCAGTACCAGGCATTTGCATTCACAAGCAGAAGTTATTACAATTTTGTCTTTGGTGTCATGCATGCACATACATATAATTATGAATGAAGATAAATAGCCTTTTAAAAAATCTCTGACAATATTTTTGTAGCACTTGCGTTCATGTGCTGTCTGAACAAATATTAATATAACGCATGACTCTTTTTGGAGTATTGACTTGTCAATATAGCACTGCACAAATCCAGAATTTTAAATACTAACCAAACAAATGTTAAGAAGAAATATTCTACCACAGAGAATCATATATAAATACAAATCTCAGCTTTCCTTTTATCTACCTGACTTAACATATATATACTAGGCATATCGTCTCTTAATTTGTAAAACCAGAAGTCAATTCTACTGGAGAAGTTCATAAACACACAGGCAACCTTCCTGCATGACATATAGCTTAATGGCATATGCATTTGCGTATTTATCTGCATTAGACAAAGATTAACTTTCAAGTCTCCATTAATGCCTAGAAGCAGAAAAATATAGATGTGTCAACCCAAGACTTTTATACAAAGAGGCTCATAGTGCCTTGCTAGTCTCAAAATCTATTCGAAAGACCACCTTAGAGAGGAGGCCCCTTTAATAAAACAGTCACTCAGCCCTTTGGATGGGCTCCCAGGGAAGGTCTCTCAAGCCTCACATTTCACAGCATAGCAAACTTGCTAAATTGGAATACATTTACATCTGTATCTTCTCTTGGTAAGATGGAAAGCCTGGGAAATGGTCTTTGGACTAGCCTCCAGTAGGAAGAAAGCTAGCTTTTCTCCTTCACTTATTTTTAAGCCTATTAAACCTCAATGTGTTGTAGAAATATGGAAATAGTCCATCTTGAATTAATTTTTGTATAAGGTGTAAGGAAGGGATCCAGTTTCAGCTTTCTACATATGGCTAGCCAGTTTTCCCAGCACCATTTATTAAATAGGGAATCCTTTACCCATTGCTTGTTTTTGTCAGGTTTATCAAAGATCAGATGGTTGTAGATATGCGGCATTATTCCTGAGTTCTCTGTTCTGTTCAATTGGTCTATATCTCTGTTTTGGTACCAGTACCATGCTGTTTTGGTTACTGTAGCCTTGTAGTATAGTTTGAAGTCAGGTAGCATGATGCCTCCAGCTTTGTTCTTTTGGCTTAGGATTGACTTGGTGATGCGGGTTCTTTTTTGGTTCCATATGAACTTTAAAGTATTTTTTTCCAATTCTGTGAAGAAACTCGTTGGTAGCTTGATGGGGATGGCATTGAATCTATAAATTACCTTGGGCAGTATGGCCATTTTCACGATATTGATTCTTCCTACCCATGAGCATGGAATGTTCTTCCATTTCTTTGTATCCTCTTTTATTTCATTGAGCAGTGGTTTGTAGTTCTCCTTGAAGAGGTCCTTCACATCCCTTGTAAGTTGGATTCCTAGGTATTTTATTCTCTTTGAAGCAATTGTGAATGGGAGTTCATGCATGATTTGGCTCTCTGTTTGTTACGGTGTATAAGAATGCTTGTGATTTTTGCACATTGATTTTGTATCCTGAGACTTTGCTGAAGTTGCTTATCAGCTTAAGGAGATTTTGGGCTGAGATGATGGGGTTTTCTAGATATACAATCATGTCATCTGCAAACAGGGACAATTTGGCTTCCTCTTTTCCTAATTGAATGCTCTTTATTTCCTTCTCCTGCCTGATTGCCCTGGCCAGAACTTCCAACACTATGTTGAATAGGAGTGGTGAGAGAGGGCATCCCTGTCTTGTGCCAGTTTTCAAAGGGAATGCTTCCAGTTTTTGTCCATTCAGTATGATATTGGCTGTGGGTTTGTCATAGATAGCTCTTATTATTTTGAGATACATCCCATCAATACCTAATTTATTGAGAGTTTTTAGCATGAAGGGTTGTTGAATTTTGTCAAAGGCCTTTTCTGCATCTATTGAGATAATCATGTGGTTTTTGTCTTTGGTTCTGTTTATATGTTGGATTGCGTTACATGTTAGACCTAAAACCATAAAAACCCTAGAAGAAAACCTAGGCAATACCATTCAGGACATAGGCATGGGTAAGGACTTCATGTCTAAAACACCAAAAGCAATGGCAACAAAAGCCAAAATTGACAAATGGGATCTAATTAAACTAAAGAGCTTCCGCACAGCAAAAGAAACCACCATCAGAGTGAACAGGCAACCTACAGAATGGGAGAAAATTTTTGCAACCTACTCATCTGACAAAGGGCTAATATCCAGAATCTACAATGAACTCAAACAAATTTACAAGAAAAAAACAAACAACCCCATCAAAAAGTGGGCAAAGGATATGAACAGACACTTCTCAAAAGAAGACATTTATGCAGCCAAAAAACACATGAAAAAATGCTCATCATCACTGGCCATCAGAGAAATGCAAATCAAAACCACAATGAGATACCATCTCACACCAGTTAGAATGGTGATCATTAAAAAGTCAGGAAACAACAGGTGCTGGAGAGGATGTGGAGAAAGAGGAACACTTTTACACTGTTGGTGGGACTGTAAACTAGTTCAACCATTGTGGAAGTCAGTGTGGTGATTCCTCAGGGATCTAGAACTAGAAATACCATTTGACCCAGCCATCCCATTACTGGGTATATACCCAAAGGATTATAAATCATGCTGCTATAAAGACACATGCACACGTATGTTTATTGCGGTACTATTCACAATAGCAAAGACTTGGAACCAACCCAAATGTCCAACAATGATAGACTGGATTAAGAAAATGTGGCACATATACACCATGGAATACTATGCAGCCATAAAAATGATGAGTTCATGTCCTTTGTAGGGACATGGATGAAGCTGGAAACCATAATTCTCAGCAAACTATCACAAGGACAAAAAACCAAACACTGCATGTTCTCACTCATAGGTGGGAATTGAACAATGAGAACACATGGACACAGGAAGGGGAACATCACACACTGGGGACTGTTGTGGGGTGGGGGGGAGGGGAGAGGGATAGCATTAGGAGATACACCTAATGCTAAACGACGAGTTAGTGAGTGCAGCACACCAACATGGCACATGTATACATATGTAACAAACCTGCACGTTGTGCACATGTACCCTAAAACTTAAAGTATAATAATAATAAAATTAAAAAAAATAAATAAATAAAATTCAAAATTCAAATATTAATGTTATCAAAGGTTTCCGCCATCTATAATTCAAAACTATTAATACTAAACTTTTAGTATATTTGTCTTCTTTTACTTAAAGAAATAAAAGGTGTCAGAGAAAAAAAAGAAATATGATAACAGTCTGGAAAATAAATTATAAGAAGCAGAACTGATGAATCATTTCAACATACTTACCTGAAGAGTATGAATTTTGTCACATTTAAAAATAGATTGGATGGGCCAGGCACAGTGGCTCACATCCCCAAATATCATGGGGAGTTAATTTGCTCTCACAAGAAAACATGGCTTTTCATGGCTTAAGACAATAAAGATGGATTTCTCCCTCAATCGGTCGGGTCAGTAGGGGTTCGGCTCCACCTGGTTATTCAGGATCCCAAGTGATGGACACTGACCTCTCAGCAAGCGGCCCCATTGCCAAGGCGGGGGAACAGCAGAAGTGCAGAACTTCGCCGGGCGCGGGGGCTCACGCCTGGAATCGCAGCACTTTGGGAGGCCGAGGCGGGCGGATCACGAGGTCAGGAGATCGAGACCATCCTGGCTAACACGGTGAAACCCCGTCTCTACTGAAAATACAAAAAAATTAGCTGTGCTTGGTGGCGAAGCCTGTACTTCCAGCTACTGGGGAGGCTGAGGCGGGAGAATGCCGTGAACCCGGGAGGCGGAGCTTGCAGTGAGCCGAGATCGCGCGGCTGAACTCCAGCCTGGGCGACAGTGAGACTCCGTCAAAAAAAAAAAAAAAAAAAAACAGTGCAGAACTTCCAGCCACTGTTCTATGCTTTACCCCAGAGCTCCCACAAATCACACATTCCCCCTCAGCCCCTACAAATGGCTCCTGTCTGACTAGACACAAGCTGTGGCATGTGGGTGAGCACACGGGTATTCAGAGAGCATTAAATGTCTCTGAAACATCTGGAATCCTTTTTCGGAAGGTCAGAAATGCTCACACTGCACTCACTCAAAGTCCGGCTCCAGTTTTAGAGAGAAGACGTACCCTAAGAACCTTGCTCCTCCTACCTACTTCCTGGCTTTAGAATTGAAAGCCATTCATCAAATGTTCTTGTTTTTAAAGAAAAATAGAAGGTAATATTTGATTTCTCATTAAAGAGACATTGATGAGAATAGAAAGAGCTCTTGCTTTAGAATAAACAGAACGATCTGACTCTAGCTCTAACCTTTATTGCCCATGATACTGAACATTTCTGTATTTTGGGATTTTTTTTACATATTAATGAAAAATCAGCTTGTTAGGAAAATTTTCCTAACTAAATTATAATCTCCTTGAAAGCAGAATCCTCAGCCTAATGCATCTCAAGACCTCCTGAAACACCTAGCATGGCCTCCTTCATGAGCCGAGCTGAGTTACAGCTGCGTCAGGAGTCCTTTCTCCTGCTGGGTGTAGCATGTATTTGTTCTCATCAGGGAAAAGAGACAGCATCTGTCTGGTGCTGATTCATATCAAACTGCAGGTTGTAATCATAGTTTTCGACATTTGAGCTTTAGTATTTCTGATTCTGTCAAGTGGCTTCTGGATCAAACAAACTCTTACCTAGATTAGGGCATGAGGCTTTCATTATTAGCATGTTGGTCTGAAAGCTCTCCCACATTAACACTCTCAGAGGATCACTTTGACTGGTGTATTTGATCTTCGGCTTCTTAAAAAGGAGATAAAATGTTCCGTTCATTGTACTTCACACATTATCTCTGAAAATGTAAACCAAGTCTTATTTTCTTATCCAATCACACCCAACTTTCTTCACTTGGCTTTGAGACATTATTTAATCTGTCCTTTCCTTATTTCTCTATCTCCATGTGGTCCAAAGCTTGCAAAGACCTGTATGAAGGGGTAACATGGTTTGGATTAAACATGCTTGTCCTCTCAAGGAAATAATAACTTTTAGAAGTTTTTGCAACACTGCCCACATTGCCCTAACATGTATTGTCATTTTTTCCATCGGGAGGTGGGGTCTGTTCCGCCACCACGACCATCCTGCGAAACTTGACTCTGGAAAGGATTGTGACTGCTTAGACCCATGCATGTGGCAGATGTGGCCTGGGTGACTCCCAAGCTGGGTCATAAAAGAGGATCTGACTTTTGCTTGTACCCTGGAACATTCATGCTTGGTGTCATAAGCCGCCATACAGGAAAGACAATTGCTCCAAAGACACCAAGCTGTGAGGAAACCAAGCCACATGGAAAGGCCACATGTAGGCCCTCCTGGCAGCAGACCTAGTCTTTGCATCATTCCAGCCCAGACCTGGGAGTAAGTGAGACCATTCTATCCAACTATCAGGTCTTTCCAGCTAATGACCCAGATATCATGGATTAGAGATAAGCCATCATCCCTGTGTCCCTTCTGAATGCTACACTTACGGAATCAATGAAGATAACAAAATGATTGTTCTACACCTTGAAGTTTTAGGGACATTTATTGCAAAGCAAAGTAACTGGAACAGAAATCCATGCCTGTAGGCCCTGTATTGATTTGCTGGGGCTACTGTGGAAAAGTACTACAACTGGGCAGCTTACACAACACGAATATACTGTCTCACAGGTCTGAGGCCAGAAGTCCAAAATCGAGGTGTCGACAGGGTTGGTGCCTTCCAAGTGCTGTAAAGAAAAGACCTGTTTCAGGCCTCTCTCCTCAGCTCACTGGTGTCTGTCTTCTCCCTGTGTGTTTACATCACCCTTGCTCTGTATCCGCCTGCATCTACATTTTTTCCTTATTTCTCTGTCTCCAAATGCAGTCACATTCTGAGCTACTGGAGGTTAAGATTTCAAGATGTGAATTATTGGAGAGCACAATTCAACTTGAACAGGTCCCAAAGCAACTTTCATATGGTGTGGTGTCTCTGGTACCATGAAAGAAATTGTTTAAAATGATTGCATGATTTTGGGGCCAAGTTCTATCTTTCGAGTGTACACAGATACGTATATGTATTTCCGACATATGTCTATATACATGTACGTGTGTGTGTATACCTTGAAGATTTTGTGACTATTCTTCTCCTAGGAGCAGTGATGCAAAAGAATCACCCTGGATCTAGGGCGGATGAGTTCACTGTGGGCTACTCTCCACAGATTTGGGAACAGGGACAGTCAGAGCTAAGGAACCTAGATTCAAGGGTGCCTAACACCGAGCTAGCCCCTATTCTGCAGCCATTTTGGAGGGGGTTTGGCCCCTGTTCCCTTGCAATGGAGAGTCAAATTCTGTAATACTCAGACCACCTCATGAGAGGCTGTGAAAGTAAGATTTAGGAAAGTGTCAGACTCAGCTGAGCAGAATCAGACCCAGAAGACTTAATGATAAAGCAAAATTTTCTCCTCAGGAAGAAAAACGAGGAAGAATGAAGAGATCCCTGCAGAAATTCCATCAGTCAGCACCCCCCCTTGAAGCAGCAGCTGGGAACAGCACTCTGCAGGCTGGTGGTCATGACAGAGAAGCCCTCTCAGATGTAGCCAAGTAGACATCTGTTATCAACGCATTTGCAGGATTTTAGGGGCTATAAATTTCAAGAGGCACCTTCCATAGGATGATGAGAGCAAAATGGGCCCCTGGGGCCAAGAAACTGTGTGGACTGGGGAGTGGGCTGACTGTAACAGGAACAGCAAGACTTGTGAGAAAGGAACTTGTACTAGAACCCTGAGTGGATGACGCAAGAACGAGACTCCTGACCACACCTTCTGCCAGAGCTGGTCTGGTTTCCCCGCACAGTTGTGGCAACCTGACCTCCCCACAGGCTCATCCCCAGTCTGGTCTTTCCTAGACTTAATGCTGACCTTAGATAGAAAGTACTGAAGGCGGCTTTGGCCAATATCCTTGGGTTGGGCAGCACTGCCTCCTATTGTCCAGCACAGATATGGCACCGTAGGTTTCACATCTGGGCTTATGCTTCATTCCCAAGATTTATTATTAAGCTTTCACATCACTTGTGTTACCCAGAATCCAAGTCTCTCATTTGGAAACATGTCTCTCTCCTCTAGGCTGAGGTCCTGTCTCTCAGAACTTGGGTACCAGCCCCTGACTTCCCTGGGTGCCAAAACCTTGAGTCTCTCATTCGGAAACATGTCTCTCTCCTTTAGCCTGAGGTCCTGTCTCTCAGAGCTTGGGTACCAACCCCTGACCACCCTGGGTGCCAAAACCCTGAGAAGCGCTGCAAGCCCCCGGCCTGGACGTATTTCTCAACAGAGCCCTTGCTGGGCTTCAATCCTCCTCCACGTCACCTCCATTACTCTGGCAAAACACCTTCCCCTCAGCCACCTCCCACCTAACTCACTGTTCTTGCTCCTTGTCTTCCAGACACTGAGTTCCTCCTGTCAGCCCAGACTCTCGATATGAACATGTAACCAGTATCTGCCCCGTCCTTGTAAGGGGATTTGTCTCTGTTTTAACAGACTCTGGATGTGAACATAGAACCAGTATCTGCCCCGTCCTTGTAAGGGGATTTGTCTCTGTTTTAACAGACTCTGGATGTGAACATAGAACCAGTATCTGCCCCGTCCTTGTAACCGGATTTGTCTCTGTTTTAACAGACTCTGGATGTGAACATATAACGAGTATCTGCCCTGTTCTTGTAAGGGGATTTGTCTGTTTTAAAATGTAGGCTTTATGATTATTCAGATGTGGTGAGGCCAGCAGGTCAGAAGACAATACGACTGAAAAGATGGTTTGTTACTCACAGGTCGCAGGACAAGTGGGCTCTGCACACCAGAGGCCCACATGGAAAAGCACTGGGGTCACTCAGGAGGCAGAGGGAGTGAGAGAAAGACACAGGCAAGAGTCTTCATTACAGTTCCCACAGGAAGGTACATGAGGCAGGATAAGCAGGTTTAGGATTGGCTAGTTTGAATAACCTTGATGGCCCCTGGGGCTGTTCCTAGTTGTCCAGGACCTGGCCTTGAGCAATCAGGGCAGCAGAACAGTGGCCCTGAGTCTGAGAGCTCCTAAAGAAGTGGGTTGGGGGTATGGCTCTGGGTTGGTTGGTTTGCATTTGAAAGACACACTTGAAGGTGAACCCTTTACTATCTCTAGGAATTGGCTAACTCTGGGAGCGGCAGGCAAGATCGCAGATATCAAAGCATCGGAAAGAAAGACCTGGTTAATAAAGCCTCCAAAAGTCTGAGCCACATCCTGCCATGGTGAACTAGGTATACCCTGACCCATCCCAAGAAATTGTTCCTTCTGTCTTATCTGGAATAAAGGCACTAGTGCACCTCTGCAAGGAAGGGCACCAGCAAGTCTATGTATGGCCCTGATGAGGCAGGTCTGATATTGGCCTAAAAGCCCAGGTGAGGGTTTAGGCACCAAACCATCAAAAGTGTGCATTTGTTGCCTGTGTTTTGCCGCTGGAGTTATACTAATTCCTGTCGCTTTCAGTCGCTGCTCTAGCTAGG
The DNA here is from genome assembly GCF_000001405.40 of Homo sapiens. NCBI lineage: Eukaryota > Metazoa > Chordata > Mammalia > Primates > Hominidae > Homo > Homo sapiens. The sequence goes on from NT_187543.1 coordinate 138,265, forward strand.
CTGGTCTCCATGTGCCACAAAACTATCATAATCACTGCTAAATCCAGGCACTTCACTTCTACTTTTTCCTCTTCTAGAGTTCTTTCCTGTCTTCTCTCTGCCTATGCAAAAGCTACCATTTTTTATAATTGGGGTTTCAGAAGAAAAAACAAAAATTAAATTCTAATGGCTCATATCCCTTCTATAAGCTGAGAACTATATGAAGGTCTTCATATATTATTTCCTTTAGTTCCGTTGGCAAGCCTGAAGGTCGAACATCATCGGCACTTTATCCACTAGGACACAGAGGTGTGAAGCCATTTAACTGACATGCTACACCAGGCAAGAGGCAAAGCTGGGAGCTGGCATCTGCCCAGTCTGACAGCAAAGCCCCCGCCCTTTGCATTCAGCAATGCAGACTCCAAGCCTCACCTCCTCCTGGCAGTTGACCTCAGTCGTCACTCCCTTCCTGGAAATCATTCAACTGTTCTTGGCAGGTCACACATTTTAGATTTTAACTATGGGTTTACTAGAAACTATTTGCCATTTAGACCACAAGCTCTTGGGAAGTAGGCATAATGTCCAACATGACTTCTGTTTCCCACAAAGTATCTTAGCGGTTCTTCCTAGATGCCTAAATGATTGACTTTTACATCTGGGACAGTTCAGTTACAATAGTCGCACTATTTTCCTTCCATTAAATGGGCAAATTGAAGACCATAAATTAAGAGATAAAAACAAACTAACCGTTCCGACTTCCGATCTGTGATGTTGAGATCTAGAAAATGCATTGCTCCGGGATCAACTAGAGCTGAGGAGGAGAAACACTCATGAAGGTCACGCCTCTGTGAACCAAGGACGGAGGTGGAGACCGAGGCTGGGTCAGAACAGCAGAGGATGTGTCCAGCACGGTTCCCTGCACTAACAAGCTTCCAGCGTGAGCAGCAAGGTGCCACGGAGCACTGCGGGGAGCAAGGTGCAACACTGCTGGGAGCAAGGTGCCGCGGGCACTGAGGAGCGAGCTATAAGAGACCGGCGCTCTCCACCGCACAGCACAGAGGGAAGGCCCAAAGCTGAGAGTGGAGCAGACTTTGAGAAACACTTTGGGGAACTGTCCCCACATCAAATACACAGGATTGCTAGAGGAATCTGAAGACTGTGGATCATGGAGGATAATTATAGGAACTACAAATCTCAAACCCTTCCCAACTCCTCACTAGATGAACACAAATGCCCACACTAAAGGCCTCGCAGATCACCCACTTCCACACACAAAAACTATCTAGCTTTGTCTCTACTGTCCTGAACAAGATGTCTGACTTTCCAACAAAAAATTACAAGGCATGTGAAAAGACAGAAAAAAAACAATGCGCTGCCAAGAGACAAAGAAATCTGCAGCCAGGTGCCATGGCTCATGCCTGTAATCCCAGCACTTTGGGAGGCTGAGGCGGGTGGATCACCTGAGGTCAGGAGTTTGGGAACACCCTGGCCAACATGGTGAAACCCCGTCTCTACTAAAAATACAACAAAATTAGCTAGGCGTGGTGGTGCATGCCTGTAATCCCAGCAACTTGGGAGGCTGAGGCAGGAGAATCGCTTGAACCCAGGAGGCGGAAGTTGCACTGTGCCCGGAATTGGTGGGTTCTTGGTCTCGCTGACTTCAAGAATGAAGCTGCGGACCCGTGGACCCTGGCGGTGGACCCTCGCGGTGAGTGTTACAGTTCCTGAAGATGGTGTGTCCGGAGTTTGTTCCTTCAGATGTTCAGATGGGTCCAGAGTTTCTTCCTGCTGGTGGGTTCATGGTCTGGCTGACTTCAGGAGTGAAGCTGCAGACCTTTGCGGTGACTGTTACAGCTCAAAAAGGCAGCATGGACCCAAAGAGTGAGCAGCACCAAGATTTACTGCGAACAGCGGAAGAACAAAACTTCCACAGCCTGGAAAGGGACCAGAGCGGGTTGCCACTGGTGGCCCCACCCACATCCTACTGATTGGTCCATTTTACAGAGAGCTGATTGGTCCATTTTATAGAGAGCTGATTGGTCCATTTTACAGAGAGCTGATTGGCCCATTTTGACAAAGCGCTGATTGGTGCTTTTACAAAACTTTAGCTAGACGTAAAAGTTCTCCAAGTCCCCACCAGATGAGCTAGACACAGAGTGCTGATCAGTGTGTTTACAAACCTCTAGCTAGACAGAGTGCTGACTGGTGTGTTTATAAACCTCTAGCTAGACACAGAGTGTTGATTGGTGCATTTACAAAGCTCTAGCTGGACACAGAGTGCTGATTGGTGTGTTTACAATCCTTTAGCTAAACAGAAAATTTCTCCGAGTTCCCACCCTACCCGGAAGCCCAGCTGGCTTCACCTCTCAATGGCACTGGCCATGGGACTTTTCGGCACCCAGCCCGGGCACTCTGGCAGCCCAGAGGGAGCTCGTCCCCGTATCAAGCCCGGTCAAGCCCAGCAGGTGCCGGCCGGCCTCGCGGAGTGCGGGGCCTGCAGAGCCGCGCCCACCTGGAACCCGCGCCCCGCGCCGGCCCGCCAGCAATGCGTGCAGCCCGGGCTCGGCCTGCGCCTCTCCCTCCACACCTCCCCGCGAACAGAGGGAGCCGGCTCCAGCCTCAGCCAGCCCCAGAGAGGGGTCCCCACAGCGCAGCGGCCGGCTGAAGGGCTCCTGGAGCGCGGCCAGAGAGGACACTGAGGCCGAGGAGGCGCCCAGAGCGAGCAAGGGCTGCTAGCACGTTGTCACCTCTCAGCACCATTGCACTCCAGCCTGGGAGACAGGGCGAAACTCCATCTCGAAAAAAAAAATAAAAGGGAATCTGCATAACTAGACTCAGGTGCGACACAGATGTTGGAGCTATCTGATAAAGAGCTTAAAATAATTATGATTAATAAGTTAAAGCCTTCAATAAAGAGGTGGATGATGTTTAAGATCAGACAGATTATTTCAGCATAGAGATGGAAACTGTAACAAATAATGTAGTTCAAATCCCAGAAATAACAGACAGTAATAGAGATGAAAGCATCTTCTACAGCCCCATTGGAAGACTTAACCGAGAAAATAATCAGTAAACTTAAAGACAGGTCCATAGAAAGTACCTAGGCTAAGACACAAATAAAAAAGACTGTACAGCAGCAGACACGGAATAATGCACCCAAGCACCGTGAGAGACTATCAAATGATCTAACACACGTATACGTGGAATCTCTAAAGAGAGAGAGGAGGAGAATAGGACAAAAGAAATAATAGCCAAGAGTGTCACAAACAGACAACAATGACAGACAACAAATCTCTGAGCCAAATAGCTCACAATACCATACAGGAGTAAGTACCAACACACACACACACACACACACACACACACACACACATACATACACACACACACAGACACACACAGAGACACATGCATACTCACAAGACACACAGAGACAAACACACATACACACATACATACACACACACACACAAGCGCATGCGCATGCATGAACGCCTATATATTTTGTATTCAAACTGAAAACAAAACACAAACAGGTAATCCTGAAGTCAGCCAATGAAACACACATTTCTGTTGGGAGCCAGCTTTCCACAGCTCTCTCCTGTTCCCGAACATCTTACAAAGTGTGTCACTGATTGCTCGTTGTCATTTGTTTGTTGTCTCCTGTCTTCTACCAGCTTCTATGAAACTACAGCAGGCTAAATTTTTAGCTTAAAAGTAGAATAAAAGTTCAGACGCTTTATAGCTCTTACAAATTGTATAACAAGGAGCACAGAAAAATTACAGTAGATCTCACATCAGAAATCACGCAATACAGAATGCAATGGGGTGACATCTTGAAAGCGCTGAAAGAAAAAAAAATATCAACTCAGTGTTTTATTCCCTGTGAGAAAATGAAGGAGAAATAAAGACTTTCTCAGACAAATAAAAACGGAGAGAAATCATTGCCAACAGACCTACATGTAAGAAATGTTAAAGGGAGTTCTCTGGGAGGAAGACATATGACACCAGACAGCAACTTGGATTTATACAAAGCAATGAACAGTGTTAGAAACAGAATAAATGAATATTGGATCTCTAGGTCATCAATACCTGTCCCAACCATCCCTAAATTTGGTCACTTGATAGCCAGCCCCCCAAGTGGTATTGAGAAGAGAGGAACAGTCCTACCACCAGGATGAGGAACCAAGACAGTGCATTAATAGTATTGAGGCCAACTGCATCATACAGTTTTAAATGCCTTGACAATAAATAGCACAAAGAATATTCAGAGTTGAAGTAATTCAAATGCAGACATGTTTCTGAGGGCATCAATTCTTGGGGCTACTGCTACTGCAAAAGTTATCCAGACTCTACCTAGAGAGGTGAGCAACATTCCTTTGGCTGAAATGAATGGAATAAGAGAAAATTGGAAAAATGGAAAAGAAAATTCTATGAAAGGGACAATTTATTTAGGGAAACTTCAACACTCTATAGAAATGAGAAATCACAATGGGAGGTGTTTTGCTTTGTTAGTTTGTATAGGTGGCAGCAGACTTAGGGTTTTTTTCTGTTCACTTGGAGCACAGACCATTTGGACTATGCCGGTTTCTGGGAAGCATGATTGGACAACATGCCATTACCAGTGTTCAGCAATATCCAGCTCTCTTCTTCTTTCTGGGCAGATGGGAGACTATGCTTCCCAGACGCTTGCAGTTAGGCAGAGCCATATAACAACTTCTGGCCCAGGAAACGGGAGCAGAAGCAATATGTGTCACTTTCAGGCCAAAGCCGCGAAAAGTCTCTCCACAGCATCTGAGCTTCTCATTCTCTTTGTCAAAGAACCAGGTCTGGTGTGGAGTTGGTAGAGCAACAGGCTAAAGCTGTATGAATTGCTGGATCATTGCATGGAGGACAGCTGCCCTGGAGAGCTGCCTGGACCCACAGAGGATTCCTATACATTTTTTTCACATTAAGCCACTGAAGAAAAAAAATACCACAGGAAATTAACAATTTTCAAAACTGTTCTTTTACCTAAAGCTCTTTTCATATCTTCAGAATATTTTCTTAGACACAACAGAAAAGAAAATTAGGAGGCAAGAATAAAAAAAAACTTCAAGACGGAAAATATTTTTAAAATTTTCATTCAGATTTTTTTTTTACTTTTAATATATCGGCAAGCATAAGGCTATCTTTGGTTTCCATGCAACTGGCATTGATCATGTTCGTGAATATAGCTAGGATACCAGGGCCAAACCGTGTGTGCTCACTTGTTTTCCTGTCTCAGAACAACATGATACTGAAAAGCGGAGTCCCTCGTGTGATGAAAACGTCTCCAGTTCGCAATCAGTTGAAAATGCAGTGGGCCCACAGCCAGAAAGCATTCCTGTGCCGGATCTTTTTTTCAGCACCCTAAATTAACCAGCTGGAATTCCCTTTTAAGTGCCAACCTACTCAGTTTTTCAGAATGCAGAACTTTTCTTTTAATGGGATCTGTCTCTCATCATAAAGGTGGAACCGTGCATTCTTGATGTCTCTCAAAAGCAGTCTTTTTTATACAGTAAGCTCAGGGAGGGTAAACACAGACGCCAGAGCACTGGTTTGAGACGGGGATGTAGCCGCTGTGCAGAGACTCGGGTAGGGCACCGGCTATCGCGGAGTGAAACCCTCAGCACAGTATCCAGGACTGCCTTGTGCAGAACAGGTCAAGATAAAAGAGGCTATTGTAAATAAATATTTAAATTAATTAAATCTATTGATGAGGAAGAGCTCCATGATGTAGGAGCAGAAGAACTGATGCAATATTTCAAAACTGAGGCTGGGCGTATTCCCGCAGTGTTCCAGGCTGAGGCTGGGCGTGTTCCCGCGGTGTCCCGGGCTGAGGCCGGGCGTGTTCTTCCGGTGTTCTTCCGGTGTTCCGAGCTGAGGCCGGGCGTGTTCCCGCGGTGTCCCGGGCTGAGGCCGGGCGTGTTCCCGCGGTGTCCCGGGCTGAGGCCGGGCGTGTTCCCGCGGTGTCCCGGGCTGAGGCCGGGCGTGTTCTTCAGGTGTTCCGGGCTGAGGCCGGGCGTGTTCCCGCGGTGTCCCGGGCTGAGGCCGGGCGTGTTCCCGCGGTGTCCCGGGCTGAGGCCGGGCGTGTTCTTCCGGTGTTCCGGGCTGAGGCCGGGCGTGTTCCCGCGGTGTCCCGGGCTGAGGCCGGGCGTGTTCCCGCGGTGTCCCGGGCTGAGGCCGGGCGTGTTCTTCCGGTGTTCCGGGCTGAGGCCGGGCGTGTTCTTCCGGTGTTCCAGGCTGAGGCCGGGCTTATTCTTCCGGTGTCCCAGGCTGAGGCCGGGCGTATTCCCGCGGTGTTTCGGGCTGAGGCTGGGCGTATTCTTCCGGTGTTTCTCACATTCTTGTTTGGGAAACTATAACGCGCTGCTCAAAGATCATCTTAATTCTGAAATACCCAAAATCAAAACGCAAGATAGTGAAGGCTATAAAACTCTCACCGTATAAAGATTAACTGATGTAATAGAGGCTTTCCATTTATCTATTCAAAACAGATTACTTGCACATCTGTTAGATGCCAGGTCATGGACTCACCTACCTCATTTATGCAGTGCATGGTATCTTGAGATACTAATACTTTGTCCTCCCTGGATTTTTTCTTCTCCCCAGTGTAGCAGAGTGGGGCATGGGCTATGGAGTCAGCCCGCTATGGCATGTTCTACCACTATACCCTCTCCAGCTATTTCACCTGAATGTTACTTAATCTCTTCCTGCTTGAATTTCCTCATCTATAAAATGAAAATCATATCAGTGAGCATTAAAGACTTAAGACATAGAAAGCATTTAGAAAAGTGACATCACAGACCTCAGTGCGACTCATTATGATTTGCTATTATTATTCTCTTCTTAGCCCTGATTCAAACTGATAGCACTTTCTTGTCTTGGAGAAAGTGTATGACAGAGGAGAAAGCGGAAGTGTTTAGGAAAGTCACTCTGAGGTAAGGGGATCATGCACACCAGTGGAAGGCTCTGAGAACATAGCTTGCCAGTGGCTCTGAACCCTCCCAGAAGCCGCCTCCTGCCACAGCCCTGTCCTTGACCAGGAAGGGAACTCTTGCTAAATACCTCATAGGCCCTGGGTTTCCTCAGCCTGCTCTCAGGGGTCTTCCCTCAAAAGCACAGCTTGTTATTCATGCTATCTCTTCCCCAGGCAACCAGAACCAGGGCCCTGTCCTGCTCTCCCTTGGATCAGGCCCCCTAGGCCACCAGGTGCTTGACTCAGCCTTAGACAGCCTCAGCTAGTTCTGGTGCAGAGCAGGTCTTTGACCTGTTCCATAAAGTCCACCGCTTTGCATAAAGTCATTCTCTGTGATCCTACACTCATTTCCCTTCCCGTTACAGGACACGTCCTCACCTGTCAGGAGTAAGCTAGAGCTGGCTTGCACTGGCTAGGGAAGTTGACTATACTAATGCCTTCTAAACTCTGCTCAGTAATGAGATGCTGATAGCTTAAAACTGGCCATGGAGGGAGTATTTACACCTCAGAAATGCAACAGATGTACATTAGAACTTTTTTACCCAGCTACCACTCTGCCTCAGACCTAGAGGCATAGAATTCCCCCACCCTCACTATCTCTGGACCCCTTGGTGTAGACCAGAATCCTGGGCCTTTTGCTTAGTTGGAAAGAAAGGTGGATAATATTCTCCTTAAATGGTCTCCCATGTAATTCCAATTTCTTCTCCACACTGTTGCCAAAGTTTTCTTTATAAAACACATACTCTAATATGCACAGTTTAAACTTTAACATGATATTCACAGTCCTTCTAATCTGGCCCTAACCTTTCTTTTTACTGCTTTTATCTTAACACATATTTATACATTCTCTTCTTGATCCCAGTGATCACTTGCTATTCCCCAAAGATTACCTGCACTTTCAGGCCTCCATGCCTTTACCTACCCATGGGATGCCCAGCCTTTACCTACCCATGGGATGCCCAGTCTTTACCTATCCATGGGATGCTCAGCCTTTACCTATCCATGGGATGCCCAGCCTTTTAGCCTTCTTAGGCCACATTGGAAGAAAAATAATTATCTTGGGCCACACATAAAATATACCAACACTAGTGATAGCAGATAAGCTAAAAGAAAAAGAAATCACACACAAAGAAATCTCATAATGTTTTAAGAAACTTTACCAATTTGTATTGGACTGCATTCAAAGCCATCCTAGGCCCCATGTGGCCTGGGGGCTACGGGCTAGAACAGCTTGACCAATACTGTTTCCTTGTCCTAGAAGGTGCCCTGTTTGAAACTGACCTCTGAGGCCATCTTCCTGCCTGTGGAGAACAGCCCTGGTACATTCCTTCTTCATCCCTTCAGTAGAACATTAGCAACACCTAATTTTAGATGGCTGTGCTCATGTTTCCTCTTCCCTGCTAAGTTTTCTGCTCCCAAATGGGCATCTGTATCTTACCTTTATATCTACTAGACCAAGATAGACCTCAGTAAAATATCCATGCTCAAAACAACATTTGTGACTAAATTAATGAAGGACTGGAAAAGCCATTGAAAGAAAACAATGGAAACAAAAATTCTTCTTTCTCTTCCCTTCCTGAACAATTCATTCCAAAGGCCATTGAGTGGGTTTGGGCAGGAAAGACAACTATGCCACCTATGAGCAGATGGGGACAGAATGAGGTGACCCCCAGCACAGTGGCAGAGCCTGGGTGGGAAAGGAGGGCAACCAAGAGGGGGCCAGGCAGGAAAGATGCCGGTGTCAGAGCCCAAGCAGGGTAAGAAGGGCACCCACACAGAACTATGTCAAAAGATACCAAGCCACCTGAAAGAGGCTCCCATAGCAAAAGCCAGAAAACAAAATCACCATTAAATAAGTAATGGTAACAGGATAAAATTTATTGAATAAAATAGAAAACCACAAATCGTCATGATGTAAATAAATATATGAATCAATTGGAGTTTGATGAGGAACCTCATGTTTTTATAGTCTCAACATACTTCCCACCAAGTATGTGCTAATTGCAAAGGAAAATAAATAACTTTAATGAATAACTTTAACTTTAGTATATTACATACTAGACAATGTTTGTGCAATAGTTTATGAACACAAAGTACTATTATTATGGCAGCACTAAATACTCCATCTGCCTGTGGAGTACACTGGTAGATATTATTTTAATCAAGTGATCCAACTACACATTATCAGTAATGGGACATATCAAAGTTGGGCACCTCCTCTTATGATGCAGTGAGAGAAGAAAGCAAAGTGTCTCTTTTTCACGGTGTTTCCACCATGTTTTTAGTGGCATTTCTACCAGCGATGCGTATCTTGTATATAATCATGAGGAAACATCAAACAAATCCAAATTAATGGGCATTCCACAGGCATTGGCCTGTCCTTTTCAAAGTTGTCAAGATAATGAAGGTCAAGGAGAAAATGAGGCACTTTTCCAGAGTGAAGGAAATGAGAAGGCTGCGGTACTCCCTTGACATGTGGGGATTACAATTTGAGATGAGATTCGGGTGGGGACACAGAGCCAGACCACACCAACATTTAAGTGCAACAGGGGATTCTGAACTTGATACGTTTGCTATGAAGAATAATATTGTTAGGACAATTAGCAAATTTGAATTGACTCTGCAAATTAAATAGTAGAAACATATCAATATTAATTATCTAATGTTGATGATTATATTGAGTACATGTAGGAATATTCTTGCTTATAGGAAACACAGCACAGAATAGAACGATGGCGTATTAGATCAGTAATTTGTTCTCAAAAGGATGACGAAAAATCATTATTTTCATTGTGCTTATAACTTTTAGAATAAAAACTATAAAAATTGTGTTAATGTATAAATTATTTCTAGTAACTGATAATTAGTCTTTTCTGGAGAACCAACTATACTGATTCTCTGTGTAAACTACTTTTACTAAGTATTAGCAATAAGACCTTTTGATTTTCTTTCTTTTTCTCTTGGCATATTTGGTGCATGTTTTTAATTGTAAAAAATCAAATATATGTTTACTTCATAAATATTGTATTTTTTTAAACTTCTGAGTATGAGTATAGAATTTTTATGCTAAGAAAAATAATTGCGTTTTGGTTTGGTTTCAGTGCTTTTTTTAAAAAAATACTAGTAGTAATAGCAAAAATTAATTTCTTTAACAATCTCTTTTCCTAGATCCACATTTGGTTTTCGGATGTTTGTGAATGGATAAAAGTAGTTTGGTCCCTGTTGCCTCAGGGTGTTTTAAAACCGAAATGGAATATATCAAAGCAGTCAACCACAAACACATACACCTGTGCCCTCAGAAGAGGCACATGGAGCTAAGTGATGACCCTACGCCATGCAGGTACAAACCTGACCTCCCAGCTCCTTTGTCCAGCCCATCATCTTCCTGGGAAGCAACATGACTACTTGGGTTTCAGTTGCCCTCTTTTCCTTGATTCTGAGATTTTATGTCTTCATATTTTAACATTTCTGAAATAAAGAGTAATTTTAAAATCTATGTTCAAAGAAATATGATTGCCCGTACATGTATGAGCATAGCTAAATATGTTGGAATAGGTGACAAAATTTTTAGAGCAAGGGGAGGTAAACCCATGAAGAACCATAAGACAGGCTCAAAAATACTATCTATCAACAGCATCAAGCAGTTGACCTCTCAGAGATCCATGAGTCAAACAAGGAAGGCATGAAACAACAAGTGCAGACACAGCTTTTTCGATGTGCATGGAAAGCATAGAAGCCAGTCACTGTCCTAGTGCTGAGGAGGCCTGAGCAGGAACATGGGTTGTAAGATGCAGAAGTCATTGCAATATTGCCATCATGGCAGATACTAGAAAATGATTCAGGAAAAACCTTAGACGTAGGACATGACAAAGGTTTAGACTCAAACTTCAGAACATAGCATAAATTGGCATAAGTAAACAAATGCTATGGTCAGCATTAAAATTTGTCTACATTTCATGCATTTTTAATGCATAAAAGCTGTATATCTTAAAAATGAGGGTGTCATATATTTTTTAAAAAAACACCAATTCCATAGAGTTTTCACTGACACAATGACTAAAATGGCCAATCATTCTTCCTTTTCAAAAGCTAACGATAACATGAACAAGGATGGAGAAATATGGGATTTGAATTCCTAATTCCTTAATGTCTTGAATTAGGACTTAAATCTCCATAAGGAAAGGGTAGCTGAAGCATTTTCTCAAGGCAATGAGCCTGGGAAAACATGGCACTGTGCAAATAGCATGATGTCATCATCAGATGGCTTCATTCTTCAGTTTACGACTTCTCTTTCACTTCCTAATTATTCTCTTCTGTGTGTGCCAGTGGAAGACTAGGTAGGGTTTTCTAATAATGTTGTTATTAGATCTAATTATTAGATCTAATAATGTTGGCATAGAGTCGGCCCTCAATAAATATTTGCTGAGGGCCAACTAAATAGCTGCTAAATAAATATTTGTTTATTCATACTGACTATTTGAATAAAGCAATTGATTGAGTAGAATTAGTTCAACCACACAGAAAAGAGTGTTACTATCCCCTCTGCCCTACACGGCTTCTAACATGGAAAATGTTCTGAGCTCCATTTTCATTCTGTTTATGAGAACTTTAAGTGTCTTACTGTGGGACTGCTGAAGTTCTGTGAAAAAAATACATCTTACAGATCATATTCAACTACAAAAGAAACTTGTCAGAGAGTTTTATTCTTAAAAATGCCAAAACACCTGTTTTGAAAGCTAACCTATAAACCTTTTCCTTTGTAGATTATATTTCATTATGCTGTTTTGATTAGAACTCTGTTTTACTACACCCTAGGGTGTCAGCATGAAGAGTGAGGCTGAGATAAAATTCTGATTCATGGACTAATGAAAGTCTTGATACTTCACTTCCAAGATGACCTTTATCTTCACTCTGGAGCTCTCACTCAAAGAGCTAAAAGGTCTTGCTGGGCTCAGGCATTCTATATTGTCTCTTTCTTCCACAGTCTAGATGCCAACGTTTGTAATTGTGCAGCAGATGGATATCAAAAACATACAAATTAGATACAAATGGGGTCATATTTGGCCTCTCCAACTTGGCCTATTCTTTTTTCATCAACAGCAAAGGTGCCCCGTTTCAGCATACACTTCCCATTTGTCAGTCACTGGCTTCTCTGGTTTTGGTGTCCTCTTTAATAAGGGGGGACAAGCAATCGAATCCGATAAGAAAGGTTTTGGCCCTTATTTTCTCCTGCTGATGAAATTTCCACAAATATTAAAAGAAATATTTTGGCTGTGTGGACACAACACAAAAATGCAGACTTCTTTTTTTTTTTTTTTTTTTTGAAGGACTGTATCTGGTCAAAGTCCACAGGATTGTTTTAACCTAGTCCTTGGATTAGAGAAATCATAAAACTCATACAGGACTCTTAGGTGTTTACTTCATAGTATCATTTGAAATCAGTAAGCATTAAGTCAGAAACGATGGGCGAGGTAAGGTATTATATTAAATTAAGTGGTAAAAACAGCACAGAATGTGGAATTCGAAGATCTGTTCTTGATTTTCAAGCACTGTCCATCAGTTAAAATTAATTAGATGTGTGACTTTTTCAGAAATTTGGCCTCTTCATCCTTAAAACTGAGAATATGTATTTATACCTAATAATATCGAGAACAACATAATCACTATATTTACTTCACAAGATTATTTAGAAATTCAAAGAAGATAAGATTTGTGCAATAATTTATGACCACAGAGTACTATTATTATGGCAGCACTAACTCATAAACAAGAAGCCATCACGTTTGTTGACCCTACAAAAGCACTGTACCTTCCAATAATTCTAGATACCTGGGAACGTGGCATGATTTCAGTATCCATGCTGCAGGATCATACACCAGGGAATGCATACGATCCAAGAAGACATTCTCTTCAGTAGCAAATTCATCATGGTCAGAGGTAAAGCCACTGTTAGAAGCCAACATAGTCATGTGTAACACCATAATTAGATTGCTTGAAACTGACCTATGTCCAGTGCCAATATTTCCTAGGTTCTTTTAGGATTGTCCGTAGTTGATTGCAAATTTGAGAATATGGAATGAAGATAATATGTACCGTACACAACTTATGGGAAATGTAAACCCACAACATGGTACATTTGCTGTGAAGTCGGTCTGGATCACTTTCAAGGACTCAGAGGTGGGTAAGCCTACACAAGCCTATTCTGCATAAGTGAAAACTAACTTCAAGGAGCACCTGGTGAAGTGAGGAAGGCCTAGGGCTTGGGAGTGTTTAAACAGAAACTAAATAACCCTTGGTAAGAAATGTTACAGGAGGGGCTTAATCTTTTGGTAGGAGGTTGGGCCACCTTTGAGGGTTTCGAGTCAGTCTCTGTGACTCAGTGACGTTGCGTGTTTGATCAGTTTGTGTAACTGGACACTGCAACTAATGAAGTAAATAACACATATAAATTTAACTGAAAATTTTTCCAAGATTCAGATGTCAAATTTTATACTGTATAACTTCTCTTAGACCACTTCTGTTGACATTTCTGTAATCTAAAGACAGTATCTGCCTAAATCTTCCCCAAAAACAATAATTCTAAAGTTTGATATCCAAAGTTTAAAAAGATGTAGCAATTATTCTCATGCACTCTTAATATTGGAGGGAAATTAGGAGGCTTGAAAAATGCTCATTCCTTTTTGGCTCGGTACCTCTGGTAATTCTTCTAGGAACTTATTCTAAAAATGGTCAAAACATACACAAAGTTTATATATAAAGATACTCAATTGGGAGTTATATATACTGGTTAAAATGTTTTGTTTTGTTTTGAGATGGAGTTTCACTCTTGTTGCCCAGACTGGAGTGCAATGGCACGATCTTGATTCACTGCAACCTCTGCCTCTGCCTCCTGGGTTCAAGCTATTCTCCCGCCTCAGCCTCCCAAGTAGCTGGGATTACAGGCACCCACCACCACACCTGGCTAATTTTTGAATTTTTAGTAGAGATGGGGTTTCACCATGTTGGTCAGGCTGGTCTCAAACTCCTGACCTCAGGTGATCCACCCACCTCGGCCTCCTAAAATTCTGGGATTACAGGCAGGAGCCACTGCACCCAGCCTAAAATTTTAAAATAACCTTAATGACCAAAAATAAGGGATTAGTTAAATTATGCACATTTATATAATGAAATAATCTGCAGCCCATTAAAAATCATGTTTTATAAAACTTTATTAACAAAAAGAAATGCTCATGATATAAATTTTAAGAATATGTCTAAAAGCAATGTATATTGTGAGATCTCATTTTTGTTTTATATTTGTATAAAAAAATGGCATTTCCTCTGGCTTTTTCTTTGTGTACACACACACATACACACAGATACACACACACACACACACACACACACACACACACAGGCTAGAGAAAATATGCCAAAATATTAGTAGTAATTGCTATCTCTGAATGATAGAATTAGGCATGATTGTTCTTTTATTCCTTATGTTTCCCAGAATTTTCCAATTTTCTACTATGAACAAATACTTTTGTAATAGGGAAAATCATAAGTGTTATTTCTCTTTTAAAGCTCTTCAAATAAGTTCTTCTGAATTCCATGGCTACCATTTAATTCAATAAACACATTCTGAGGATTAAGTTGGGCCAGTGTTTTATCATTACTATCAAAATAAGAGAGACTGATGGAGACAAAAAACTTCATATGATACACTTTGATGTGTTACATAATATATAATATTTAAATATAATTATATTATTAAACATAATATAATACTTAGAATAATTAAATATATAATTATTGCTGAGTTGCTCTGTTTTATTGATTGATTGATTGATTGATTGATTGAGACAGGTCTCACTCTGTTGCCCAGGCTGGAGTGCAGTGGCACAGTCATGGCTCACTGCAGCCTCAATCTCCAGGGCTCAAGTGATCCTCCTTCCTCAGCCTCCCACGTAGCTGGGACTGAAGCCGTGAGCCATCATGCCTGGCTAATTTTTGTACATTTTGTAGAGACAGGGTTTTGCCATGTTGCCCAGGCTAGTCCTGAATTCCTGGGCTCAAGTGATCCACCTGCCTTGGCCTCCCAAAGTGCTGGGATTACAGGCATGAGCCATGACATCAAGGGGCTCTGTTTAATTTATAGTCACAATTTAAAGATTTATACTATGCGATATGTAATAAGGTACTTGTATTGTTTCCCATCATATTCTATTCTTTGTACATAATCAACGTTCAATATTTCTTAAGGAAAGAAAAAAGGAAGGGAAAGAGTAACGATTAAATGTATTCCTTATAAAAATGAGTATAGTTCCCTACTATGCTATTTCTATGAAAAACTTAAATTTGACATCGCTATTTTAGCATTTGTCCTATTTTTTCAGAATATATCCCACAGAACAAGACCGAAAAAAAATGGTGATTCTCCAAAGGCCACCAGTGAAGCAGTGATGGAAGTTTGTAGATATCACCCCAAACACACTTAGGCTCCAGGAGGCCACCTCAACAAATCCTGTGTTCAGTTTGGAGATGGAGACTTTCTTCACCATCCTGACTTGCTCAGTGCGACCTTGGGAAAAGAGAAGGATGCAGCTGAGCTGCTGGTCCTGAGGTGCCTCAACTGCCTGGCCACTGCATGCAAGGATGCGGCTGAGCTGCTGGTCCTGAGGTCCCTCACCTGCCTGGCCACTGCATGCAAGGATGCGGCTGAGCTGCTGGTCCTGAGGTCCCTCACCTGCCTGGCCACTGCATGCAAGGATGCGGCTGAGCTGCTGGTCCTGAGGTCCCTCACCTGCCTGGCCACTGCATGCAAGGATGCGGCTGAGCTGCTGGTCCTGAGGTCCCTCACCTGCCTGGCCACTGCATGCAAGGATGCGGCTGAGCTGCTGGTCCT
Source organism: Homo sapiens (assembly GCF_000001405.40). Taxonomy (NCBI): domain Eukaryota; kingdom Metazoa; phylum Chordata; class Mammalia; order Primates; family Hominidae; genus Homo; species Homo sapiens. Next base: position 154,128 of record NT_187543.1, read on the forward strand.
GAGGTCCCTCACCTGCCTGGCCACTGCATGCAAGGATGCGGCTGAGCTGCTGGTCCTGAGGTCCCTCACCTGCCTGGCCACTGCATGCAAGGATGCGGCTGAGCTGCTGGTCCTGAGGTCCCTCACCTGCCTGGCCACTGCATTCCTCCCGCTGCCTCCCTTGTCTCTGTGGACCCGTCAGACTGCTGCCTCTGCTGATTAGTGACACAAGACCAACAGTGGTTCTGGAGAGACAAACTACCAAATTACACAGATTTAGCACATACGTGTGGAAAACAAAAAATTCAGGGCAGAGTTTGGTTTAGGCAGACTTTTGTTAAACAAATACAGTCAAATCTGTTTCGGATGATTATCTACAGAGTTGGACGCCATGAGAAAGTCAATCCTTTCATAAAAAACATGACTCAAAAGCTCATTAACTATTTTGGAAAAGAAAAACTCAGTAAACTCATAAACTTTAATGAAAAAATTAACATATTAGGTTTTTTTAATTTAATAATATAATGTCCCTGAAGTTCCATGATATTTCTGAAGAAATTGCCTTGTATGAAGTCACACTGTTGGGGCTCAAGCTAAAAGCCATCAGCCAACCTCCATGGAAATCAAACACTGGTTTGAGTGGTGGCTTGGGAGAAATACACACCAACAATCAACATGTCCTGTCTCGGTGTGATGTACCTGAGCGTCCTGTCTCAGTATGATGTACCTGAGTGTTTGTCTCAGTATCATGTACCTGAGTGTCCTGTCTCAGTATGATGTACCTGAGCGTCCTGTCTCAGTCTGATGTACCTGAGTGACCTGAATCTTTAAGAGGCAAGAAGCAACTTAGTATGTGGTTCATGTTTTTAAGGAGAAGGGATGGTTTCTCTCCAGGGCTGACAACAGTTAACAGGCTGAAGATAACACAGAAAATAGGAAAAGCCGCCCTTCTCCTAAATGTTCCATTAAAAGTGAAAAGCTTCATTGCTATATGCAATTGGTTTTGAAATCTCCATGACTGGAAGTCAGAAATGTTAGAAGTTAATACACTGTTCGGGGACCAAGTGGACTTCTGATGTTCAGAGGGGATGTTTTCAAGGTGAATCCAAAGCCTATAAACAAACAAAAAAAAACACTCCATCAGCTATATCAGAAACTTTTTCCATTATCAGAAAACTTATCCGTATAAATTCTTCATTGCTTAAAATGACAGACTGAAAGCAAAGCCACATGTTGCTTGCTTCATTGCCTGTTGTGGCAGCTTTTAAATCCCTGCCTTCCTAGGAAGTGACCTCATAAGAAAATCTTATAAGACTGTCCTGTGGGGAAATCCTCATAACATTTGGGTTAATGCGCTTACACTGCAGGAGAGGTCACCAGGAACATCCAATCATCAGAAAGTCCTACAGGGACGTGATGTTACCTGGGTCATGGAAGGATCTCTCTCAACACACATCTGGGGTGTTTTGTGGCATATTCTATAGCAGGCCATGTGGCTTAATAGTTAAAATATGGGGCTGAAAGTTACGAGGGTTGGGGGATCATATGGCAGCTGAGCTATTGCCTGACACGCTGACCCTACACAACTCATGAGTTCGTGGTACTTCAGTCAGCTTAGCTGTAAAATTGGGCACAAAGGCCAGACTTTACCAAAACCAGATGTTGGACTCCAGCTCTGTTCCTCAACTAATATCTTTTTTTAATGTGGCTGTCAAGTCTCAATTTGTGTGTGTGTATGTGTAGCAATATATATAGAAAGGCAAAGGGAAACTGGAGCTTACTCTCCGAGTAAGACTGGCAGGGATGAGCAAGGTCCAAGAATGCTGGCCCTGACCCATTCCATATCCTAGCCTCTCCCACCTGGCCAGGCTCATGTGTGTCACAGAAGTTGCAGCAGCTTGTGCACATTCAGAGCCTACTGTTTGGAGTAAGTTAATTATAACTAGAGTCATTTTTACGTATCCCTAAGAGAGGCCCTTAATGGGTATGAGTCACGGAAGAGCCACAAATCCCAGCATATAGATTCATACTGACCCTCCTTAGCTCACTACTTTTCTAGGCTGTGGGTCCCTACCACAAAAATAGTTGGTAGACATCAGTTTCCTCCTCTTGAGAACAGTAGAAACTCTTTTAGCTGACTTTCTCTGAGGCCAGCTCCCCCAGTTAGCCAAGCTCCCACTTCCTCTGCAAAGCATGCTGAATAATGCTGCTTCTGGGTCCCAAGCACCCCAGGATACGTGCTCCCCTCTCCCCTCCCAGGTGCTGTTTGGGTACCATGAGTCAGTACCAAGCCCATTTAGGACAGTTGCCATCGTAATTATCTAAAGAACTATTACTGAAACTCGAGTAAGAGTGCACAAAGAAATTTATTGTTTCCTATTCATTAAAAAACCGAAGTGATTATTTTGAAATAGCTCAGAAGGGTGAGTTCCTATTAAAAATAGTTACAAAATTACGTAAAACTCCATAAGGGTTTTGCCTTCAGGACACTCTGCAAGTATCTTTAAATTCTCACTCCATTTGAAAGAAATGGATAATGCATTAGAGTTGTGCTTTCTGGAAGGAAGACAATTAGGATTACAATCAGCCATCCCACCATGACAGAAAAGGCCTTGGCTCCATGTGAAAAGTTAGCAACAATCTATTGTATGTTTCTAATGAGCTGGAAGAGACGACTTGAGATGTTCCTAACACATAGAAATGATAAATATTCAAGGTGGTGGATGCTCTAAATACCCAGACTTGACCATTGCACATTCCATGCATGTAGCAAAATGTCCCAGGTGCCCCATAAATACGTACAAATGTTACATATTAATTTAAAAGATTGGCAAACCAATATATGTGTACACTTTTAAAGTTCAAATAATGGATGTGTATAATAGGTATTTACATGCATAAATATGTATGCCTATATTTATATATATATACATACACACACTAGCACCTACATTTTACGTATCAAGTGACTGTTGATTAATCAACAAATAATCCTAATCTTGTCAATCAAGATAACTTTTGCACTATTTCATTATTTTCCTAATTAGTATTCTCCAATTACTAGTGAAGAAGCAAGTCTGTCGTTTCTGACTTTCTTTCTTTCAAGTGTCTCTGTCATTGGCCCATGCAGATTTCACTTGGGCTGTGAACTGAGGTTTTCAGCCCTCACTGGAGCCAGATGGCAGAAAGATTGTTGGTAGGGCTCTAAGCCAGGCAGAAGGCACCCTGCTCTGAGGCACAGCTTTGTTTAATACAACAGCTCCCCTGTGCCCAACACTCATACTGCCCCAGGAAGTCATGCCAAAGCCCAATCCTGCCAACATTCATGATGCAGAGAAGGAAGCCACAGACTAATCCAACTGGACCAAGCACCCATCTCTCCTTCACTGACTAAAGCAAATCAAGGGCCAACTGTAACATTCAAAACCAGACGGTCGACAATCCTGTCAACTGGAACAGCATATTTTAATAGAAAATATAGTTGATTCCAAAATCCAAGAGCTACCCATCTGTACTCTCAATGAGAAATATAAATAAACAAAAGGATCATGCATTTTATTAATCTTTTTGAAAACTACTGACTCTTGGCTGATGGTGGGTAAGGACTCATATTTTGTCAGTAGTGGCCAAAAAATGACAATATTTTAATAGTAAAAAACTCAGCCTGAGATGTTGTTAGGGAAAGAAAAAGATTGTCTCCCAGTTCTAGTGATCTGTAGGATCCCAGATCTAGTGATCCTATAGGAACGTCTAAGACAGTGAAACATGAAGAGTTAATGGTCACTCTTCATAAGAGGACACACAAGGAAGAAATTCTACAGACAACAGCAAAAAGAAATGCTCTTGTGGGGTGAAACTACACTGTCCATGGACTTTTACCACTGCTTTGTGGAGAATTGTTGTGAAAATATAGAATAAGTAGCTGCAGGAATTCTCTCATCAGACACTATTATGCCACCTCCCAAGTAACATTAGTGTACAGTGCAAAATTTGGAACTAAAGGAAAAAAACACTTATTTGAGAAAACATTGACATTTACAGGTAGTTACATTACATTTAGCAGCTTGTTGTTCCTTTGATCATCTATGAGCTGCCTAAAGCAGTTTGCTGCCGTATGGAAAAATCTAGACCCAGAGAACCAAAGATATTGTAACATGAGCCAGAATGACATTATCACTGAGAACGCAGCAACATGCAATGAGAGGAGTCGGCCTGCCTGAGAAACTCAAGATCTCCTTGGAAATGCCTTCTTTTTCTTTAGACATAGTCACTGACTCTTTCTAGCTTGTCTCAAGGTGAGACTTCATCCCAGGTATTTCCTGTGAAGTAAGATTGTTTCACCAGAACCTGAAACATTTTTCCATCACACATTGCCTCACAGTATGTGACAATAAAATGGACTTCAGTCATGTTATTTACATGGAAGAACTGGGCTTGGCAAATTTGCTATGTTCTGTATGAAACCAAGTATACCTTTTAAACTGCCTAAGAGTTTGATCTATTACAAATATAACAGGACAAACTCTTTTGACCCATGGTTAAACAAGCTCTCCAAGACTGGAATTTAAAAGGACATGGCATAAATTCTGTGGTGAGTTGAGACCTCTAGGTATCAAGTCTCAGCAAAGTCAGGTGTCCTTCTCATTGCCTCCCAGGTGGAGATTCAAGAATGAACATGTTGGCTGGGCACGGTGGCTCATGCCTGTAATCCCAGCACTCTGGGAGGCTGAGATGGGTAGATCACCTGAGGTCAGGAGTTCCAGACCAGCCTGGTCAACATGGTGAAACCCCATCTCTACTAAAAATACAAAAATTCACTGAGTGTGGTGGGGGCAGCACCTGTAATCCCAGCTACCCGGGAGGCTGAGTCAGGAGAATCACTTGAAACCGGGAGGTGGAGGTTGCAGTGAACCAAGATTGTGCCATTGCACTCAAGCCTGGGCAACAAGAGTGAAACTCTGTCTCAAAAAAAAAAAAAAAAAAAAAAAAAGAATGAACATGTTGAGATGACACATTCTAGCATGGACCTCCCATTATGGTAGGTTATTCAATCCAGCTTAGCAACTTATTTTATCCCAGGAACAAGGGACTGAATTCTATGTGGGTCACATTTGTACAGCTAAAACCCCCCGTGATCACTGGATAATAATGCAGCCTTATGTTCTGCACGGTCTAGCTGTATATAGTGGGGACACGTGATCACCTTCTCAGGCTTGGTTTTTTTTCTGTCTAGCCAATGGACTTCAGACTGTCAGAGAGTCTTCACTTTAGACTGACTACAAATCACCTGCAGAGTTTCGTATACATACAGCTGCAGTAGGTCTAGGATGGAGACCAGATCTCCTGTGTTAAAGAATCTTCCAGGCGGTTTGGACACCAACGGGGTGTAAACCACACTGTTGAACCAGAGAGAGACGATGACTTTGAACTCTGAAGGACCATCTCAGTTCTAAAGCATCTAGCACCAGAGTCAGCCCCCAGCAAATTGAGAAACTAGACTTTGGGCTCAGGAAATACCTCCCTGGGTCAAAGTAAACCAAGTTAAGGTGGCAAATTTCCCCCCAAAGTTCTTGTTATTGTCAGCAGCATCAATAGGAATAGGGTATTTGTTCAGCAGCCCTGTTACATTCCCAAAGGCAGATTGCAAAGATCACGTGGCTGTGTCATTTAAATTTCAGAAATACAAGAGACTTGGAGCCATTTATATTAGAGTCAGTTTTGTCAAAACAATTTATGGTACATCTCACACCCTGCATGTTTCATAAAACCCTTTCTATAGAAAGGGAGATTATTGTGGACCAACCTACCACAGCATTGCCTACTACCAGTGACTGCATTTTGTGATATATTAAGTTATCCTGGTTGGAATTCTACTGTTGATTGTCTAGTGCTATATCCAGTAACAAATCACATGTATGTTATAAGACATCCAGACTGATGTGGGCTCAGAAGGCACCTGCATAAAGTTTTTCAAAAGAACAGTCATAAGTTTTACTAGATGTGACAAACCTTATAAAAGTTAAATAATGTCACGCTTTATAAGCATTTCATTTAATACAACTGAACACATGGAGGGCATTGAGGATAATATTTAATTTTTTCCATATGTGGATTTAATACCACATAGAAGTTCTAGTCCCAGATTGCTAATTTTCCACCATGTGGTAGCCATTTAGTTGTATTTTTTAAAATACTTACCAAATTACAGAGTCGAGTTTCAGAGGCAGCAGCTATGAGGAGGTTTAGGGTGCATGGTATCCCTTTGGCTTAGCCCTGGGTCTCATGAGGAGGCAGTAAATCGTGACAGTATTTTCATGGCAGCACTGACTGCTTTTCATAAGAATGAAGGTGAGTTTGCAAAGCCACATGCTAATGCACTTCTAAAAATAGATTTGATGAATGGGACTCCTTCAAATTCTGACCAGTTTTAGCCACCTATTGGAATGCAGACCAGCACGGAAGATTCAGCTTTTTCAGACGTGTCTATGAATTATAAGGCTTTCAAAAAAATTTTTACTCTGGAAAAGTGAGCTGGACCCAGAGTTTTAATTGCTCATTCTTCAAAGTGAGACTTCAGATATGTCATTTAGCCTCTTCTTTGCTTGTGTATATTTATATCTTTAATTGGGACAATAATATTTTCCTTCATTTTCATAGCAAAGAAAAGAACAGTCTTAGATAGTCAGGTTAGAGGAACAGCACCTCCCAATACCAGCTACAGTTTATCTTCTATGACCATAAACAGGGAATTGAATCTTCTAGACAAGAAAGACCAAACGTCTCTCTATTTATTCATTTTCTGTCTTATTCTAAAATAGCTTTGAGTAGCTGAATCAGCTACTCAAAGAATTTGAAGAAATTCTTAGAAAGAGACAAAACCCTATTGGCAGGGTGTTTGGGTCGGCAGGTGAAGGCACATATCATTCATGCCCAGCACCACCATCTAATGTGATCAATGCACAAGAAGGTGCCGTGAAACTTTAACGCTCCATCCAAATGTTAGTAATTATTATTAACCCAGTGAGACTGAGCAGAAACCTGGAACCACTGGTCAGAGCCGACATCTGGATTCGATGGTCAGAAATAAGGACACCACACTGTATACCTATTTGATGATTCATGTCTGTCTGGCCCAGGATAAGAAATACCCTTTCAAAATCATCAACCCCTGGGCAGACATGTTTTATCTCCCTGAACCAATTACAGTTAATTCTCCCGGGTTCACATAGTTTGGGACCAAGTCTATTTCACACAAAACTGAATACTCCAGACAACGTACCTGGGAAAACTTAAAAATGCATACATGGGACTCTCCACGGAGCCTCGTAACACAGCGTGGGCGATGGGCATAACTGTATGACTTTCGGGTTTGCAAAACTAGCGGGCGCAGCCATCAGAGCCCCAGAGTAGGAGACTGTCCAGTGAGAGAGACTGCCTGCCAGAATTCTGGAGTGATCTCTCGGCCAAAGAGTATTTAATGGAATCAAAAGTCATACACACTTTTACTCAGGCAAAGAAAAAGTGGCATCTCGTTTTCTATGACTAATTGACCCTCTCACCCAGCCTCACGGGGCTGGCTACCAGAGGGAGTTGGAGTGAAACCCTTTCAACTTTCCATTTAATGGTGTCTCATTCTCTTACACTTCAAAAAGTCTCGTAGCAACTGGCTGTGTCTCTTGGGGTAAACATTCTGACTTTCAGGTATCCACAGCAATGGCCCAGGCAACAGGCATATGTGATGTGAGGAAGAGGCTTTGAGTCTGCATGGGTCCTTTGAGTCTTCACTAATTTCTGCTGCAGAGCCACCAGCTGGCCACGTTTCCTGGGACCTGGAAGATTCTGCTAAGGCATGCCTGGTGAGGTTGTCTTTACTTTATTTTCTGGGACAGTGCCTTGTGTGGCTGTGGGCCCTTTCCCCACCACCTCACCCCAGATCTCTTCTGTGGCCATGTCTGTCTCCTGGAGGGCTGTTTGTGGTGTGACCTTTGCAGCAGGGTCACACCCATTTACCACGGTGGCCCCTGCAAGAAAGGCCTCAGCTCCCAGCAGAGCTGGTGACCGGGGACCTCCCCTGTGCCCTCAGGGCCCCAGCAGGCTAACCAGGCTCCCTCTGCCCTGCCATAGCACATTCCCTCTGTGATCACGGCCCCATCCCACCAACGTTCAAAACAGTGCACAGGAGAACAGGCCTCCTGCCACGCGCTGTCCCTCAGCCTCGCCTCCTCTGTGAGATTTCAGCCGGGAGTGGGAGCCACGATGCTCATCCGCTGTCTACCTGCCTCTCTCTCCCTTACCTGCTGCATCTACCTGCCTCTCTCTCCCTTACCATGCTGCGATGCCTGGCTGTGTCTACCTGCCTCTCTCTCCCTTACCTGCTGCGATGCCTGGCTGTGTCTACCTGCCTCTCTCTCCCTTACCTGCTGCATCTACCTGCTTCTCTCTCCCTTACCTGCTGCGATGCCTGGCTGTGTCTACCTGCCTTTCTCTCCCTTACCCGGCTGCGATGCTTGTCTGTGTCTACCTGTCTCTCTCTCCCTTACCTGCTGCAATGCCTGGCCATGATGTAAGGGTTCTCCACCTCCTCTGCAGCAGGGAAAGGACTTCCCTAAGATCGGACTCTGGTTCCCTCCATCCTATGACTCACAATACCCCTCTGTGATCTAGGCTGGTCACAGATATGCTAATAAAGTGAAAGAAATTTAGAAAACTCATTTCCACCTCTCTAGCCCCTGGCTTTTCAGCCTGAGGTAGATTCCAAAGCAGGGGCACGTCATGCAGACTCAGGAGGCAGCTGAAAGGTGCTCCTGCAGGCCCAATAGGGGATAATTTGAACACCAAAATAATTAAGGACAGTAACAAATTACAGACCATTTACAAGATCTTGTTAATGAGTCCATGCCAATAATCAATAGGTAAACAAATCAGTGCAGGGAAAAGAAGGATCTCACTAATAGTAGAATGCTAAGCGTCAACTGGGAAACGTGAAGAAGCAACTGTCACTTCGCAGCCACCACGGTAAACTTCAGTTCAGTAACCAACAGAGGCCAAATCTAGGGGGAGATTTTCGTGTGATTTGCATGGTCTCCCAGAGATTAAAGTGATTCAAGTTACCATCAACATTGAAGAACAGATGGACATCCCGTGCCCCTAGAGAAAAACACACATCACTTCTGGCCCAGAATGAGGAGCCTGAATCTAACCACGCAGAGCCGTCGGACAAACACAAACCACGCAGACCCGTCGGACAAACACAAACCATGCAGAGCCGTCGGACAAACACAAACCACGCAGACCCGTCGGACAAACACAAACCATGCAGAGCCGTCGGACAAACACAAACCAGGCAGACCCGTTGGACAAATTCAAAATGAGAAACTGTCTCTCTTTCTGAAACGGACTGTATTCTTCAAAGTGTCCACGTCATAAAAGGCAAAAATAGGCTTCTGAAATGTTCCAGGAGGCTAGAAAAACGCATGACAATCTCTTCCTAGACTGGATCATGTACTGGAGGAAGAAAAAAGGCTGGGAAGGACTTTATGGGGTCAGTTGACAAAAATGGAACGCTGATGGTAGTTGGACAGGATCACTGTAGCAACATTAACTGTTCTAAAGAGATATCCTTATTCTTCAAAAATACACACTGAAGTTTTAGGGCCATGATGAATGCAATTTACTCTGAAATAGTACAGGACAAAAATATCAAGAAAAAATTAAAATATGCATAAAACATACATAAAAATAGAGAGGGCAAAAGTAAAAAGAGAGAGAAAAAAGCAAATAAGAGAGAAAAAGGAAAATAATGCTAAAAGTAGATTAATCTGGGTAATCAGGTGTCCTATGTACTATTCTTATTTTAGTAATTTTTCTTTAAATGTGAAACTATTTCCAAATCAAAGTTGTTGTTGTTGTTTTTAATTTCTGTCTTTCCCTTACATGTGTTGTATAATTTGGTGGTTTTATCGCAACCTGTAATTTCTGAAAATATTAGAGTGGTCTATGAATAAATAAAATAAATTTTATGATGCTTTCAAATAATCTTTAACAAGAAAAAAATACAGGTAAGGAGCAAATTAAACATTTGAAAAATAAACTACAGATTTACATATAAAAGCATGATCACCGATTTGATCAGGAAAAAAGCTAAATAGAACTGTGAAAAATGCAATATTTTTGTCAGTTTAAAATATAAAGGAATATTTTCTTTAGCTAAAATTATGCACAGAGTGAGATTATAAAACATATTTTCACATCATATTTTTTCAAAATTGTGTTTTTAATTCACAGATATTTCTAGACTGTCAAAATAGAACAAAATTTATTTCTATAGAGGATAAAGTTTCTAGCGTAAACACAACACACGATTTTTTTAGGCAGTGGGAATGCTATTGTTTTCTCTGAATTCATAGGCAAGTTATAATAACCTCCTCTTTTCAATTCTATGAAGTTTTAGAGTTTTGTTTCAGGAACTTAAAACTTCTTTTCAGATTTTTGGTGAACCTTTTACTTTCTCTCTTCAGATACCTGGTATCTTTATGTATTTTCAAAAGGGAAGCTGAAGATGTACTGAATTTAATGTTTAAATAAAGAAAATGTCTTACTATTCTAAATCTTGTGTTCTAGCAGGATAAACACTTTAAAGAAATGCAATGGAACTCTTTCAACAGAATTTCCGGGTCCAAAAGGTAGGTGGTGATTATTTTGGGGAGAGGTTTCTTGCAACCTGAAATTATGCCAGGTAAAGCCTACCCCCAATTTCTTAAGGGCTGTCCTGTGGTTATTGCCTGTCAGACAGCTGACAAATAAACTGGCTTAAAAGAAAAAACCTAAAATAAAATATGTCAAAAAGCTAAAATATAACATAAACACATAAAATGTAAAACTAACACAAAGCACAAGTTTATAAGTAGCTTTTGGACAAAGCCTGCATTTCTTTGCCACATGAAATAGAACATGAAAGCAGGATAATTCCTGCTTAAACAAAGATCGAGTTTCCTTTAGATCTCTGTGACAAAATCTCACCCACTGTCACTTCCACAAGCAACACCGTTTTCTGCGGAACTGAGGAGATGCCTCCATCTGAGCAACAATGTCTACCTTCTGACCTTCCGCACTTGAACCTCCCTGGCGCCATGTCTCCCTGAGCTGTCAACAGCACAGCACACTCCCAGTCACCCACCAAAAATGCAAAAATCTCTTTTAAAGAAAAATAGGAAGGCACAAGCTCACTGTGAGCTGGTAAACTTTAGATACATAGAATCCTTATCTGGTGACATAACTTGTAACCTGATTTGCTCGAACACCGAGAGCCATGACCAGTCTACAAGGGCCCTTCAGGGAATGAGAAAAGGTTCTCTTTAGAGAGAAGCAATCCTCCAGCACCTTCTCCAATTCTGTGGGTTCTGCTCCATGTGATAGCATCTGAAGCTGTGGTTGTCTGGGGTTCAACTGGGCTGAAATACGCGAAATGCTTCACTCATGTGATTGGCATTGGTGCTGGCCATCAGCTGTGAGCTCATCCAGGGCATCTAAGGGAGCATTTCCATTCGCTTCTACATGGCCTCTCCCTGCGTCTTGGACTTCTTACAGTATGGAGACAGGTTCCCAAGACTGAGGATCTCAAGAGCAAGCATTCCAAGAGAAATGAAGTGGCTGTCACTTAAGGCTTAGGCTTAGGAGCTCCAAATGCCATCTCTGTCACATTCTATCCTAAAGCAGTCACAAGGCCAGCTTGGATTCTAGTGACGGGAAATCTGTTCTGTCTTTTGACAGGATGGGCAGGAAGCATATGCGGAGAGAGGTGGAATGTTGTGGACCGTCTCAGGAGACAAGCTACCACACTGCACAGCTGACATTGGGCAGCCCTGCCCGAGCCCAGCGGCCTTGCTGATACCCATGTCCTCGGATGATCTGTTTTTGGTTTTGCTTTTGTTATTTTTGCTAGGTTCACAGTCAAATCAGGATAAGTCCGAACTGTCCCAAATCACCCGATCCTCAACCTCATTGTTCTGGCAGTCTAAAAAGTAATCATGGTCTGCCTACTCACATTTAAATACACATTTTAAAAATAATTCTTTCCTTAAAGCCGATCTTTAAATCAATCATCCTTCTGCATTTTAGCTGTCTGGATGCCAGTCTTATCTTTCCCCTATGGTCTTCTCATTTCCCAGTCATTATAAATTAGTGTGTCAAAAATTCACGTTGATGTAGCACAACATCATATCCATAATATAATTCATGCCTTCAATGAAAGAGTTTTGCTTCAAAGGTAGACGTCATTAGTAAGTGGTGAAATTTCACATGTGGTTAAAACTTCTTTTTGCCGGTAAAAATAAAACACTCACAAGTAATACTTTAGAGCCATTTTTAACCTCTTATAAAATACAAAAAGTAAGGCAGAAAAGGAGGAAACGATGTTTCCAATCTCTGTTTAATTTATTCCCACTGCGGGCAAATCACTTTTCCTTAGATTTACAAGTTTTCCTATAAATGTGTGACACTGCCTTTGAGTAATTGCTACCTAATAAATAGCTCTAGCTTCCTCCATGTTTTATTACTGAGAGACAAAACCTTCACCAAATAGACTCATTTCTAGTTGGGAGTCATCCTCATGGTGTCTGTGAGGACTTTGCTGGGTGCCAGGTCAGAAATGAATGAGCTTTGGCAGAGACTCTGCAGGTGGCCTAATCTAGTCCGCACGATGCTCCAGGGAAAGACGAAACCCTCTTACAAAGCAACCGTCTGTTCCAGAAAGGGGGACTATCCCCCAGGGTGGCCATGCCAGACACCTAGTGGGCTCGGATGCTCAGAGAGTAATTGGATGTCAACTGCCTGTTTAAGCACCGTCTGCCTCTGACCACCAGATATGACAAGCTGTAATATATTATTCAAAAACTGTAGAGTTAAGAGGGTGATAAGTAGAGAAACAACTACAAAAGGAATATTCTTATAGACAGACCAAGTGCTAAGAAGAGTCACATGGGAAAAAAGACATGGTTGAAGTTAGAAGGTGTCCGTAGAAGTGTAATTAACACAGTCCTGCAATAATTTTTAACATCAGAAGTGGACTATATATGTTGTCATGTTCCTTGTCCTATAGAACGCTCATATACTTCACTCTCTTTAAAGTAAGTCTGAATCTGTGTATTAATTTCATTTTTAAAGCATTTTCATATTTCCATGCAGCCCTGAGAAGACATGAGGACAGGAATTACTACTCCCATTTTACAACGAAGAAAGCTAAAACCAAAAGTCTTCTTAGATTCTGACCTCTAACATTAGCTTCTCCAAATATTCCCTTAAAGGACCAAGTCTAAGCAATTTCACAAGAAAATGAGTTTGCACAGATATTAAATTTGCTTTTTGACTGTTTTATTAAATACTCAAAACAGAATGGAAAAAGACATCTTGAAACAAATTAAAATACGGTCAGCCCTCCCTATGCATGGGTTTCTCATCCTTGGATAGAAACTCACAGACATGGAGGGTCAACTGTACTATTTTCCATCTGGCTTCAACCACCTGCAGATGGGGAGCCTGTGGACACAGAGAGCTGCCTGTATATTTGCCTCATGTGGACACTGGGAACCAGACCTCCTCCCACGTTGAAAGGAAATTATTCCATTTAAGAAGAAAACAGTGTCTTTTAAAATAAATGTAACTATTGAAAAGCACAAGGTGTCATAATTACCAGTAACATCCTTTTATGAGATAAAATGTCTTAACAGGCATCAAGAACGTAGATCAATGTCCAGCTCTCAGTGACTGCAATTATATTCAGTGACAAGATTAAGTGAAGTAACTAATCATTTACTGTATTTAAAATGCTGGCATCACAATTCGGATAATGTATTTTTAAAGGGGGATAATGCACTTTTAAGTTCTAAATTAATATTTGCAAAGAACTTAGAGACCCCTGTGATGTGCAAGTTGGATTTATACAAATGATCTGAAGGACAACGTCCACCCAGCCAAATGAGGGTAACCCTAGGGAAGGAAAGGGGTGCAAGATCGTCCTACGATACAGGGCACCAAACTGATTACTTTTGCTTGATTTTCAGGCAATCTGAATATACCAGCAGGATCCAAACTGCTCTGAAATGTGGTCTCACTGAAACAAATTGGTTTTGCCAGCAAGGTGGAAATGAATTCATCAAGTCTGTGTCACGAGCAGCCACACAGTGTGAAAACAGCCAACACTTCTCCTGTTGACTGACATCACTTCGCGGATTTAACTTCTGTGCTTCCAAGCCCAACCTCTTATATCCTCTCTCCAGGCATTTTACATTTCACTTGCCACTCTCTACTCTCTAAAAGCAGAGAAGCAGCTTTGCGAGAAGTAGTAAAATTATGAGAATAAGCTGGAAGAAATGTTTTGGATAAAGAGCTGGTAACATTTAAGGCAAATTGCTCTGGTATAAATTCAGTCCTGTACTAGCACCATCTCATAGATCACAGAGTAGCCGGTCGGTGAAGTTGATGGGATATTGATTCCAGCAGGAAAATAAAGGGCTATAAAACAAAAGATGATTAACACGAAATCCTTGAGTAAAGCAAAGTCTTAATAGACTGGGAGCTGTTAAATCAAAGAGTGGGTGAGAGGACTGGGCTTTCAGATCACTTACAACTGAATTCTTTTCATTGTGTATTAAAATTCTCCTGTGTGTTTTTACTTTCCTGTATATTATCAATCCATATTCCTCCAGTGAAAAACATCTGAAATTGCATGTGGGGAAAAGGAACCAAATCCAGGACACATCATCAATCAGAAAGAAGGCAACTCACAAAGCAATGGCAATCAGGGCCTTAAAAACCTATAAATACTGTCAGAAAATGAATATTTTTCTATTTCTTTCATTTCATTAAGTCCCACTAATGTTTCTCTACATACCACGTGCACCTCTCTTTTAATAAATTCTGCTGCAATGCACGTTACAGGTTGATTTGTTGCTTAAAATATGCAGTACTCAATGCACAGATGTACTTCTAAAATATTCTTCTAGCAAGTTTCCAGAGCCAAGTAGTTTTTTGGTCAAAATTACTCTACAAAGGAAATGCACCCCTGATTCCCTCCACCATCTATCAACACACACACACCACCACCACCACATCACCAATACCACAAGCACACACATCACCACCACCACATCACCACTGCACTAGTACACACACCACCATCATCACATCACCACTGCACTAGCACACACACCACCACCACCACATCACCACTGCACTAGCACACACACCATCACCACCACATCACCACTGCACTAGCACACACACCACCACCACCACATCACCACTGCACTAGTACACACACCATCACCACCACATCACCACTGCACCAGTACACACACCATCACCACCACATCACCACTGCACTAGTACACACACCATCACCACATCACCACTGCACTAGTACACACACCATCACCACCACATCACCACTGCACTAGCACACACACCACCACCACCACATCACCACTGCACTAGCACACACACCACCACCACATCACCACTGCACTAGCACACACACCACCATCATCACATCACCACTGCACCAGTACACACACCACCACCATCACATCACCACTGCACTAGTACACACACCATCACCACATCACCACTGCACCAGTACACACACCATCACCACCACATCACCACTGCACTAGTACACACACCATCACCACCACATCACCACTGCACTAGTACACACACCATCACCACCACATCACCACTGCACCAGTACACACACCATCACCACCACATCACCACTGCACTAGTACACACACCATCACCACATCACCACTGCACTAATACACACACCACCACCACATCACCACTGCACTAGTACACACACCACCATCACATCACCACTGCACTAGTACACACACCATCACCACATCACCACTGCACTAGCACACACACACCATCACCACCACATCACCACTGCACTAGTACACACACCACCATCACATCACCACTGCACTAGTACACACACCATCACCACATCACCACTGCACCAGTACACACACCATCACCACCACATCACCACTGCACCAGTACACACAACACCACCACCACATCACCACTGCACTAGCACACACACACCATCACCACATCACCACTGCACCAGTACACACACCATCACCACCACATCACCACTGCACTAGTACACACACCACCATCACATCACCACTGCACTAGTACACACACCATCACCACATCACCACTGCACTAGCACACACACCATCACCACCACATCACCACTGCACTATTACACACACCATCACCACATCACCACTGCACTAGCACACACACCACCACCACCACATCACCACTGCACTAGTACACACACCATCACCACCACATCACCACTGCACCAGTACACACACCATCACCACCACATCACCACTGCACTAGTACACACACCACCATCATCACATCACCACTGCACTAGCACACACACCACCACCACCACATCACCACTGCACTAGCACACACACCATCACCACCACATCACCACTGCACTAGCACACACACCACCACCACCACATCACCACTGCACTAGTACACACACCATCACCACCACATCACCACTGCACCAGTACACACACCATCACCACCACATCACCACTGCACTAGTACACACACCATCACCACATCACCACTGCACTAGTACACACACCATCACCACCACATCACCACTGCACTAGCACACACACCACCACCACCACATCACCACTGCACTAGCACACACACCATCACCACCACATCACCACTGCACTAGCACACACACCACCACCACCACATCACCACTGCACTAGCACACACACCACCACCACCACATCACCGCTGCACTAGCACACACACCATCACCACCACATCACCACTGCACTAGTACACACACCATCACCACCACATCACCACTGCACTAGCACACACACCACCACCACATCACCACTGCACTAGCACACACACCACCACCACATCACCACTGCACTAGTACACACACCACCACATCACATCACCACTGCACTAGCACACACACCATCACCACCACATCACCACTGCACTAGTACACACACCATCACCACATCACCACTGCACTAGTACACACACCATCACCACATCACCACTGCACTAGCACACACACCACCACCACATCACCACTGCACTAGTACACACACCATCACCACCACATCACCACTGCACTAGTACACACACCATCACCACCACATCACCACTGCACCAGTACACACACCATCACCACCACATCACCACTGCACTAGTACACACACCATCACCACATCACCACTGCACTAATACACACACCACCACCACATCACCACTGCACTAGCACACACACCACCACCATCACATCACCACTGCACTAGCACACACACCACCATCACCACATCACCACTGCACTAGTACACACACCATCACCACATCACCACTGCACTAGTACACACACCATCACCACCACATCACCACTGCACTAGCACACACACCACCACCACCACCACATCACCACTGCACCAGTACACACACCATCACCACCACATCACCACTGCACTAGTACACACACCACCATCACCACATCACCACTGCACCAGTACACACACCATCACCATCACATCACCACTGCACTAGTACACACACCACCACCACCACATCACCACTGCACTAGTACACACACCATCACCATCACATCACCACTGCACCAGTACACACACCATCACCACCACATCACCACTGCACTAATACACACACCATCACCACATCACCACTGCACTAGTACACACACCACCATCATCACATCACCACTGCACTAGTACACACACCACCATCACCACATCACCACTGCACTAATACACACACCATCACCACCACATCACCACTGCACTAGTACACACACCACCACCACCACATCACCACTGCACTAGTACACACACCATCACCACCACATCACCACTGCACTAGTACACACACCATCACCATCACATCACCACTGCACTAGTACACACACCATCACCACATCACCACTGCACTAGTACACACACCATCACCACATCACCACTGCACTAGCACACACACCATCACCACCACATCACCACTGCACTAATACACACACCATCACCACATCACCACTGCACCAGCACACACACCACCATCACCACATCACCACTGCACTAGTACACACACCACCACCACCACATCACCACTGCACCAGTACACACACCATCACCACATCACCACTGCACTAGTACACACACCACCATCATCACATCACCACTGCACTAGCACACACACCACCACCACCACATCACCACTGCACTAGCACACACACCACCACCACCACATCACCACTGCACTAGCACACACACCATCACCACCACATCACCACTGCACTAGCACACACACACCATCACCACATCACCACTGCACTAGCACACACACCATCACCACCACCACATCACCACTGCACTAGCACACACACCACCACCACCACATCACCACTGCACTAGCACACACACCACCACCACCACATCACCACTGCACTAGTACACACACCATCACCACCACCACATCACCACTGCACTAGCACACACACCACCACCACCACATCACCACTGCACTAGTACACACACCATCACATCACCACTGCACTAGTACACACACCACCACCACCACATCACCACTGCCGCTAGCACTGCCACTACCTCAATCCCACTAAATATTATTACTCCGGAAGCTCCTTTACCCAGGAAATCAGGCATTCTTCAAGACTTCATGGTTTCATTACACAAGGAAAGAGGCAGCTTTTGTGAAACAGAGTCAGAACTATTAGGGAAGTAACTACAGAGCTTACTGTGTCCAGTCAGCCATGCAGAACTGAGAGTTAAAGGGACAGCATTACGAGTCCATGTGCCTGCGTTCCAGAGCAGAAACGCTCATCACAACTGAAAATTGCAAGTTCCTACTGATGGAAGGACTTTTTTCCATAAGACCTCAAAGGCCCTGCAGTACCCTCAGATAAAAATTAAACATTTGGAAATATTAAAACTAGGTTTGCATTGAGTCTTACCTTGGGGGAGCTTCAGCGGAACTATTGATAAAGACAAAATAATCCTTGCGATGACTCTAATCGTTACCATTCTACACAAAATATCAATGACCGAAAACACCGTTTGACATGGGCAAGATTGTATGAAAAGACTAATTATACAAAGCAAGTCGATTCAACTATTTACTTTCCCAATGTTTCTCTTCTACCCATTTCACGGGAGTTTTCCCTTGACCTCTGTGGAATATCATGAAACGCCAAATCCAAGTTTCGTTCTTTGGACATACACCTCTCTAATTTAATGCAGGGCTGCCCGACACAGCAAATAAAATCATAGACACCTCATTAAATTCTAATTTCAAAAAACAATGAAAAATACTTTAGTGTAAGTATGTCCCATGCAGTATTTAGTAAATACTTACAACTTTTAAAATTATGTGTTGTTTACCTGAAAATCAATTTATCTGATGTTTTGGGTTTTACCTGGTAACTTTAATTTTACTCTCTGATGATTTACATTGTATTTTAGAACTTGCTCCATCATTAAAGAAAATAAAACAGCTGTCAGGGATAGAACAGCTGGAGAAATCACAATTTGTGAATGAGAAAAAGTACATGAAGGCCCTTTACAGCCTTATATGTGTAATACCAGTAATTCCCAATGGGTCATGGCAAAAAAGAGGGAGGGGAGAATTAGAATCATTGAGGAACGTTTACCTGAGACTAAAACCACTGCATTGTACAAATATTATGCAGGTCTTTCCCATTTTTATTTTCATCTTGGAGGGCGGTGGTTATAGGCACCAGCTTTGGAGTGAGACTGACCTGTTGAACCATGGCTCTGCCTCTTCCTAGCTGTTCGATCCTAGACCAGGCATTTAACCTCCCTAAGCCTCTACTTTTTCATATTTAAAATGAAAGCGGTGATACCCATCTCATGTGGTAAGAGAAAGCACTGATAGCGGTAGTCCTCTTTCTAAAGCACTGGAACATGACCCGGCTTAAGGTGAGCCCTCTCTAATTGAATGCTGTCATTCTTGTCATGTTGTGCAAATGTTTTCACCATGCCTGTTAGCAACAGATAAAGTTCCCTGGCAATAATCGTCACATAAAATGTTCCACCTACTTTATCTAGGAGTCAGCTGGGGTGCAAATGAGAAGGGCAAGCAGCCACTTGTAACTTGCAGAATATCAGGCTCTACAGGAGCATTTATTCTGAAAAAAGTCAGGACTCCAGGGAAAGTCAAGCTCCATTCACAGCCGTTTCTCTCCTCATCTGTCCTCGTGCTGACTCTCTTTAGAATCTCTCTGGATGGAATTCCTTCCCAACTCCAATGGACAGAAGCAGTGAGTCCGTCCAGTCGGTAAGTCAAACAGTCCTTCGATGACTCCACTCCAGGGTGTGCTCTGTGTGATCAGAACAAGTGCTTCAGCCTAACACACCTACACATTCGAAAAGGTTTCACACAGCCTCGTTCTGCTCTTAGACGCCAACACTCCCCACACCCAATCTACCACAAAATAGAACAACAGAATCAGCCAAACGCCCTCTCCACGGAGGCGAAGGACACAGGGTCAGCCAAACCCCCTCTCCACCGAGGAGAAGGACACAGGATCAGCCAAACCCCCTCTCCACCGAGGAGAAGGACACAGGATCAGCCAAACCCCCTCTCCAGCGAGGAGAAGGACACAGGATCAGCCAAACCCCCTCTCCAGCGAGGAGAAGGACACAGGATCAGCCAAACCCCCTCTCCACAGAGACAAAGGACACAGAATCAGCCAAACTCCCTCTCCACGGAGGCGAAGGACACAGAATCAGCCAAACTCCCTCTCCACGGAGGCGAAGGACACAGAATCAGCCAAACTCCCTCTCCACAGAGACAAAGGACACAGAATCAGCCACATCCCCTCTCCGTGGAGGCGAAGGACACAGAATCAGCCAAACTCCCTCTCCGTGGAGGCGAAGGAGCTGCTGCAACTGACGGAGGGACCGTCCAATTGCTTGGAGGGTCCGTTCAGCCTGTGTGGGCCAAACCTCTCTAATCATTGACCCTGGAGGCTTATATTGCATTTTCAGGCATATTACCTTATTAGAGGAAACAGGACAGCTGCTTCCCTGAAAGAAATACGGGCAAAGCTCAATTTGTGAAGTGTGTTTCATTTCAAAGGCTGTAGCTTACAGGCAACATGGATTTTGCAGGACCAACTTGTAATGCAGTTTCAAACCCACCCAAAATCTGGAGTTTCTCTTGAAGATTTTTACCTTTCTAACATACTTAAGGAAGTGAAGAATTACTCATAATATTCTTTGCTACCTACAGTGCCGGCAGGTGCCAGCACTGTTAAAACTGCTGTAGGTGGCGGGTGCTTTGCCCCCTGTGCCCCAACACCACATGAATATTTTCCAGCTGATCACTTTTAAACTTTTAACAGACACCTAGAATTATGCCGCTGAAGAGCAAATAGATAAGTACACAACCTCTTGAGGTTTCTTACAGAAAGAAAAAATGTTTTCCTAGGACTTAGTAGTGAAAACGCTTTTGCAAAAATTTTGACAATGAGAGGACTCTGACACAGAAACATTACGACGCAAAACAAATCTGACCTAATCGGGTCCATCTTGCCTCTAGCCTCCAAGCTGCCCTTGCTCATCCTCGAGTGTAAGCCACACTAACTATGGGATCGAGTCCATCTTGCCTCTAGCCTCCAAGCTGCCCTTGCTCATCCTTGAGTGTAAGCCATGCTAACTTTGGGAGGAATTTAGGTAATAGTTTAACTTTGAAACAAAGATGATAACAGCCTTCCCTGAAACAACCCCCTCCTTGCCTGGGGACCAGATGACCTTTGGAAAATTAACAAATTAGCCACAAGATTAGAAATTATGGCTCAGGAATCATGCAACCGGAGGCCACAAAATCACGGACCTCTCCAGTTGTTCCTGTGGATAACATTACTATTGTAACCCTAAGATTGGTGTTCAAGGTGTTTTCAGACGCTGAATTTTGATGGACCAGCTGGCACCACGTAGAAGGGTAAACTGGCTCATCTGGTATTGTGGCCCCCACCCAGGAACCAACTCAGCACAAGAGGGCAGCTTCAACTCCCTGTCATTTCTTCTCCAACCCAGCCAATCAGCACTCCCCATTCCCTAGCTCCCACCCCACCAAACCAGCTTTCAAAAATCCTAGCCTCTGAATTTTCAGGGAAGTTGATCTGAGTCATAAGAAAGCTCCAGTCTCCCTTTTAGCTGGCTCTACGTGTATTAGACTCTTTCCCAGTTGCAATCCCCCAGTCTTGACAAATGGGCTCTATCTTGGCAGTGGGCAAAAAGAACCCCTTGGGTGGTTACAGTGGTCTGTTTGTTTCAAAGGCACTCTCATTTCCAAACTCACTAGCAGAGAACACCCACACATGGACAGATGCACACCCTTTGTTTTCATGGCATTCCTAAGATGCTCTTTCAGAAACCATCCTTTCCCCTGGTGTTTATGCAGAGAAGGAGATGACTAGATGGTAGACATATTACACCTGCACCTTAGTGGTACCCATCCTTCCATCCTCCACATTCCCCTCCAGAGTGCTCCCTTCCTGGTCCTCTCACTAGTCCTATATTCAATACAGAAACAGGGAGAACTAAGGGTGATGGCAATTCTTGTCCTGTGAATTCTGCCCTCTAGCCCTCTGTCAATGTATCCAGCAGCAATGCTCAGAATGTCTAGGGGACTAATCTATCACCCCTTCAAGTGCACAGGTTAGGAGTTGGATAATAATACTTGTATCCCTTAAAAATTATCAATAATTTTGATTATCTTCAAAATTTAAGGTCAAGAATGCTAAGATCAGAAGGATCTCCCAGGCCCACCACTAGGCAGTGGTGCAGGGCTTTAAATAACATGATCAAGATCCTTGCTCATGAGGCACAGGCACTCCATGTATAAAATGTCTGAATTTTAGATTTTCAAGGTGTGTAAACATGTTAAACCACATACAGGTATTTTTTGGTATGGTGCAATTGAGATTGTAAAATGCCTAATATTTGCTGATTACTTCTTTATATTTAGTGTATCATGCCTTTTAGATGAATGCTGAAATTTAAAAGAATACTTTTGACCAGAGATGGGCAGTAACGCATCTTAAGTAGCATAGAATATCCCTGAATTTAGAAACAAGTAGAGGTGGCTTGTAGCAAAGTCACGTTTTAAAAACAGTGAGGAGCAACAGTCCTTAACCTCTCTGATCAGAAATACAGGTCTTATGTGAAAAGAAAAAAGGAAAACAAAAGGTAAAATCTCCAGAAAGAAGGAAGACGCCGAGAGCATCTGGGACTGCCTTGTTAACACAGCCTTGGGAATGCTGTGATGTACTTTATTGCAGGGATGGCACAGACATCGAATACATCTAACTATAATCACATAGCTACTGGCTCTTTAAGTTCATAGTGGCTAATATTAAAAAGAAAAAACACTCTTCCAAGGAGGTCATTGGCTACAAAGTAGATATTTTATATCCTCCTCAAAAATCAATTCTCCTTCAAAGCAAATTTGTCCACCCAACCCTCTAATCACGTAGTTGGCTCTCCTGGCAACCAGCCCCATTCTGAAGCTATCTAGGGACCCATCAAGGGTCCTTACTGTAAACTCAGGCACAGTTGTCAGTGGTTTATTATGAACAGCAAAAGATGGTCCTCCCACCCCGTCTCCCAGAAAATTACAAGGGCTGTGGGAACTCTGTGCAAAGAACCTGGGACAAAGGTCAAACACATATTTCTTAGGATGCGGCAGATCACACCACCGTTGAGCACTACGGCGACTCGAAGCAAGAAGCTTTCGTCTGAGCCTACTAGGAATGAACACACCTTGTCACGACATTGAGATTCAGGCACCATGTTTAGCCTACGGTGGGAAACGAGAAACTTGGGACCTAAAAGATTGGGTTTCTTTTTATCCTATCCTAACAACAGGCAATCACAGAGTCAGTATGCTGGGCACTGCAATGGCATAACATCAAACAAAACTCGCGTACTCAAGGACCCTGTTCTACTCTGTGGATCAACAGTTGTGGTAAGCAGAAGTACAACAAATTGTAACTTTTTTTTTTTTAGATGGAGACTCGTTCTTGTTGCCCAGGCTGGAGTGCAGCGGTGCAATCTCGGCTCACTTCAACCTCTGCCTCCCCATTTCAATAGTGCTCCCACCTCAGCCTCCCGAGTAGCGTACACGTCACCACACCTGGCTAATTTTTGTATTTTTAGTAGAGACAGGGTTTCACCATGTTGGCCAGGCTGGTCTCAAACTCCTGGCCTCAAGTGATCCGCCCACCTCAGCCTCCCAAAGTGCTGAGATTACAAGCATCAGCCACCGCACCCAGCCCAAATTTTCTTGATAGATCTAATCCGTCAGTCAGAAAGAGAGTTGTTGAATACTGAACCCACCTTAAACACTAGCAGGGTGGACAACTGTGAGATTCATGTGTTCATTGCTCACATACTCTGAAGTTCCTACGCTGTGTCGCCTACTAGGTGGTGCGTTCTGAAGGGTGGCAACAAAGTCTCCCCTGCAGCCTGGCAATAGCTTGTAGATCCTATACCCAGCCCCAGCTGCAAGAAGCTGTTAAATCCTAGGCCCAGCCGCAGCTGCTGGAAGGTGTCTCACTGCATTTTTCAACATTTGGGCTGCGTCAGCCACCTCCAGCCACACACCCACCAGCACTCACATGTGCAGTCACCTGGAAATCAGAAAAGTATTCTCACTCAGTCCCTGAAACAATTTAAAACTGCGTGACTTGTCTCCAGCGTCGGCCATAATCAAACGGCTAAGTTGGCAGCGTGGTTGTACTTTGTCATGTTTTCCCTTGTCCTCCAGCCTGACCCCCTCCTACCCCACATCACTCCTCCCAAGCTGACCACCAGGGGCCCTGCCAGGTGCAACTATGCCCCCACCTTTTAATATTGTTTTTTGAGACAGGATCTCACTCTGTCGCTCGTGCTGACTTTACATTTTTTAAAACTCTTTCCCTTGCTCATTTCCCTTCTTCCCTCCACTGCATCTGAAACCTGCCCAAGGTAACAGCTAGTTAATTTCAGATGAGATTGAGGAATTCTGCTTGACTTCTTCAGGTCGTATATTTGCATTTGCTGAATGCATTCTCAGCAAACAAGCCTTATGCAGTTTGCTTTAGGTGGTGCCTGTTCCAGCACACACAAGCCATGAGAAGTTCAGAAAGCAAGTGGGGTGGAGGCGGCATGGTCAGCAGTTAGGAGCACCAGCTCCAGAAGCAGGTGATTTGGGTTAGAATCTGCCCCACAGCTTACTAGTTTAACAATTTCCCCTCTCTGTGCTCAGTCTCTCATCTGCAATTGAGAGCCATAACACCTAACTCAGAGGATTGTTACAAATATTAGATGAACTGATACAGGTAAGAAGCTTAAAACAGTTCCTGCTAAGAACACAATCAATGTCACTTATTATGTTACTATCAGTAAGACGGACGACATAATTTGCGAGGCCCAGTACAAAATGAAAATGCAAGGCCCCTTGTTCAAACTTCGTTAAGAATTTCAAGACCAAAGCCACAAACCATTAAATCAGGTGCAGGGTCCTGCTAAGCATAGAGCACTTTTGAGCGCACGGCCACACATTCACAGCACCAATCCTGCCTCCCAGCTTTAGAACAAAAGCACCTTATTGCCCTAAGATCCAGGGAGTCTTCTGGGTGATCATTGAGAAAAAAATCCTGGAAACGCATCTTTTGTTTGCCTCTGGGAGAGTGGGGACTGGCAGGAAAACATAGGTAGCACTTTCCAAAAATACAAATAAAATTGGCCCAGTGCAGTGGCTTAGGTCTGTAATCCCATCACTTTGGGAGGCCAAGGTGGGTGGATCTCCTGAGGTCAGGAGTTCAAGACCAGCCTGGCCAACATGGCGAAACCCCGTCTCTACTAAAAATACAAAAATTAGCCGGGCGTGGTGGCGGGCATCTGTAATCCCAGCTACTTGGGAGGCTGAGGCAGGAGAATGGCGTGAACCCGGGAGGCGGAGCTTGCAGTGAGCTGAGATGGCGCCACTGCACTCCAGCCTGGGCGACAGAGCGAGACTCCGTCTCAAAATAAATAAATTAATTAATTTAATTAAATGTAAAACCCCCCACCCCCCAAAACATCCCACAGTAGGTTCTGCAAGTGGCTATCTCTTGCACAGCTTTTTGATGGAAGATCAGGAACAAAAATCACTTCGCATATTTCACTAAAACTGCTCCTTCAGTGATGAAATCTTACAAGAAATCCATGTTGGTCATTCACCATAACCTCCTGCAAACAAAAGCTTTTACTACATAAAAGGAATGTTGGGACAAGAAAGTAGATTTGTAATAAGTTTGCATTGCATGTGAGATTAAAAGAAAAGATGGCTCTTTAGATTAATTTATTGCTAAAGGCATAACCTTTACTGTTTAATGTTGTGTTTCAATTGCCTGTCAAACTGTCAGAAAATAGAGCCTGAGTCCACAGCTACATAAACCAGTTTTACTTTCACCAGCAATTACAGTTTTTTAATCTTTTTTACCAGTTCATTTTCAACCTCTTTTTATTTTATCACTTGCAGTCAAATCTCAGCAATTTACTAATACAAATGTGATCAAATGCCTTCCATTTATCTTAAAGATCTAAATTCTGATGAAATAAGACTATGTGATCAATACGAATAGCATCCTGTATCCAGTCCCAGACCCTTGGTTGTAAATCATGATAGGACAGTGTCTTCCCAGAGGCTGAATCACCGGAACCAGTTCACATTGCTTAGTACCAGATCACAAAATCTTCATGAGTCATATTACTTTTTCCTTTTTTCTTCACTTCACATCTTAGTAAAAACACATTCATTTTCCAAACTCATCATTTCCAGCAGCATTCATTTCAACCATAATTTCCTGGACAATCTATTCATTCAGGTCCCTTTTTTGGAGTTTGTATTTGACTACGCTGCACTAAAGCCTGCCTTTTTTTAGAACTGTGCTCATCGGCTACATAACCCCTGAGAAAAGGTTAATATATCCCCTTAAACATTCTTAAGTGCCAAATCTCTCCTATTCCATGAGCTTAAAACCATATCAGGTAATTTCAGATCACTTGAACTATGGTTCCGTGCTGTGTCCCTCGGCTCTCTCCCATTCTCCGTGCCGTGTCCCTCGGCTCTCTCCCATTCTCCGTGCCCTGTCCCTCGGCTCTCTCCTATTCTCCGTGCCCTGTCCCTCGGCTCTCTCCCATTCTCCGTGCCGTGTCCCTCGGCTCTCTCCCATTCTCCGTGCCGTGTCCCTCGGCTCTCTCCCATTCTCCGTGCCCTGTCCCTCGGCTCTCTCCCATTCTCCGTGCCCTGTCCCTCGGCTCTCTCCCATTCTCCGTGCCGTGTCCCTCGGCTCTCTCCCATTCTCCGTGCCGTGTCCCTCGGCTCTCTCCCATTCTCCTTGCGTGTCCCTCGGCTCTCTCCCATTCTCCGTGCCGTGTCCCTCGGCTCTCTCCCATTCTCCTTGCGTGTCCCTCGGCTCTCTCCCATTCTCCGTGCCCTGTCCCTCGGCTCTCTCCCATTCTCCGTGCCGTGTCCCTCGGCTCTCTCCTATTCTCTGTGCCGTGTCCCTCGGCTCTCTCCTATTCTCCTTGCGTGTCCCTCGGCTCTCTCCCATTCTCCGTGCCCTGTCCCTCGGCTCTCTCCTATTCTCCTAGCGTGTCCCTCGGCTCTCTCCCATTCTCCGTGCCGTGTCCCTCGGCTCTCTCCCATTCTCCGTGCCGTGTCCCTCGGCTCTCTCCCATTCTCCGTGCCCTGTCCCTCGGCTCTCTCCCATTCTCCTAGCGTGTCCCTCGGCTCTCTCCCATTCTCCGTGCCGTGTCCCTCGGCTCTCTCCCATTCTCCTTGCGTGTCCCTCGGCTCTCTCCCATTCTCCGTGCCCTGTCCCTCGGCTCTCTCCCATTCTCCGTGCCGTGTCCCTCGGCTCTCTCCTATTCTCCGTGCCGTGTCCCTCGGCTCTCTCCCATTCTCCGTGCCCTGTCCCTCGGCTCTCTCCCATTCTCCGTGCCGTGTCCCTCGGCTCTCTCCTATTCTCTGTGCCGTGTCCCTCGGCTCTCTCCTATTCTCCTTGCGTGTCCCTCGGCTCTCTCCCATTCTCCGTGCCCTGTCCCTCGGCTCTCTCCTATTCTCCTAGCGTGTCCCTCGGCTCTCTCCCATTCTCCGTGCCGTGTCCCTCGGCTCTCTCCCATTCTCCGTGCCGTGTCCCTCGGCTCTCTCCCATTCTCCGTGCCGTGTCCCTCGGCTCTCTCCCATTCTCCGTGCCGTGTCCCTCGGCTCTCTCCCATTCTCCTTGCGTGTCCCTCGGCTCTCTCCCATTCTCCGTGCCGTGTCCCTCGGCTCTCTCCCATTCTCCGTGCCGTGTCCCTCGGCTCTCTCCCATTCTCCGTGCCGTGTCCCTCGGCTCTCTCCCATTCTCCGTGCCCTGTCCCTCGGCTCTCTCCCATTCTCCGTGCCGTGTCCCTCGGCTCTCTCCTATTCTCTGTGCCGTGTCCCTCGGCTCTCTCCTATTCTCTGTGCCGTGTCCCTCGGCTCTCTCCTATTCTCCTTGCATGTCCCTCGGTTCTCTCCTATTTTCATATTCTCCGTCCTGTGTCCCTCAGCTCTTTCATGTTTTCCATGCTGTGTCCCTCAGCTCTCTCCTATTTTGGTTGACAAGAATAGCATTAGATTAATTTTCAGCTTTCAAAAAAAAGAGACAAACTTAAAATTTTTTAATATACCTCTTATAATTCTCAAAAACTACATTTTTTAAAAAATGTGCCTCTGGAATCAAATGATTTAAAAGTCTAATTTTTACACTTTTAGTAAATAAAACTAGTAAAGAAATGTACTCTTCTGTGGTCTTTAAAACTCCTCTTAGCAAGCTATTTTTATAAATAGGCTGTCCTGACTAATGATTCTTGGGCTATAAGGTGGCGTGCCCACCTCCCTCCCATTCAGTTCTTGGGCACCTTGTCTCTGATGAGAAGATCAATAATAATTAGGAGATGATTTTTAAGTTTACTTAAGTGCATGCAATTCCTCTGGCTTCTTTACATAACTGTGAATGATGGTGACCCTGAGACAGGACGCTGGGGTTCACTAGGAGAAGTGACACCTGCCGTATAGTCACACATGCCCGCCCTACCCCAGTTTCATGCAGTGCTATCACAATGGCTGTGAGGGGGTGTATATCCTTAATTCCAGACCACAACTACTAGCAAAGCGACTGGGGGTCCACAGTCATGCAGGGGAAAGCACAGGACTTGGAGAAGTGGTGGCCAAATGACTAACTCAAGGCTGGTGGCCCACAAATCTGTCTTCAAATCCATGACAGGGACCCTTAAGGGGAATAGAAAAGACAATTGTCAATGAGAGTTGTATGCCTATCCCCCAGCACCCTGTGGACTTGCTGAGAACAAGGGCCTTGTTTTCCTCGCCCTTTGTGGCTGACACGGTGCTGGACACAGCTGCAGCCTATAACTTAGGGTGATTCGATCAACGATCTTGTCTAGAGTGGGAGATAGCTGGGAGCAGTGGTGAAATAAGAACATGAAAACGAAGGTTTTGTTAGCAGAGAAAGGTATGGAAGACAGGCCTTAATGGGAATAACAACAGGAGATTGCTGATATCTGAGGGATTGATGGGAGTGACAAGAAAAAAGAAGTAAACAAGCGGAGTCATGGGAAAGGCACCAAGGACAGGTTTCTTAAAAAGAGCTCTGAAGCTCACCAGTAGCAACAAAATGGTGGCATATTAAAAGCTGAGACAGTTTCAACCAAGGGGGTGTTTAATCATCATATATGGGAAGTGCTAGAATAGTTTCTGGTGGGGAATCCATTTTTTAGTTCAAAATTGATGTTGACCTCTGAACATCTAGTCCCAATCAACAACCCTTGAAGCTTCAGCAGACACTATGTCAAAGGCTGCTTAGAGAAGACATCCAGGAGACACTATGTCAGAGGCTGTTCAGAGGAGACACCCAGCAGACACTATGTCAGAGGCTGTTCAGAGGAGACACCCAGCAGACACTATGTCAGAGGCTGTTCAGAGGAGACACCCAGCAGACACTATGTCAGAGGCTGTTCAGAGGAGACACCCAGCAGACACTATGTCAGAGGCTGCTCAGAGAAGACACCCAGCAGACACTACGTCAGAGGCTGCTCAGAGGAGACACCCAGCAGACACTACGTCAGAGCCTGTTCAGAGGAGACACCCAGCAGACACTATGTCAGAGGCTGCTCAGAGAAGACACCCAGCAGACACTATGTCAGAGGCTGTTCAGAGGAGACACCCAGCAGACACTATGTCAGAGGCTGCTCAGAGAAGACACCCAGCAGACACTATGTCAGAGGCTGTTCAGAGGAGACACCCAGCAGACACTATGTCAGAGGCTGCTCAGAGAAGACACCCAGCAGACACTATGTCAGAGGCTGCTCAGAGGAGACACCCAGCAGACACTATGTCAGAGGCTGTTCAGAGGAGACACCCAGCAGACACTATGTCAGAGGCTGTTCAGAGAAGGGACCCAGCAGACACTATGTCAGAGGCTGTTCAGAGAAGACACCCAGCAGACACTATGTCAGAGGCTGCTCAGAGAAGACACCCAGCAGACACTATGTCAGAGGCTGCTCAGAGAAGGGACCCAGCAGACACTATGTCAGAGGCTGCTCAGAGAAGGGACCCAGCAGACACTATATCAGAGGCTGCTCAGAGAAGACACCCAGGAGACACTATGTCAGAGGCTGCTCAGAGAAGGGACCCAGCAGACACTATGTCAGAGGCTGCTCAGAGAAGGGACCCAGCAGACACTATGTCAGAGGCTGCTCAGAGAAGGGACCCAGCAGACACTATGTCAGAGGCTGCTCAGAGAAGGGACCCAGCAGACACTATGTCAGAGGCTGCTCAGAGAAGGGACCCAGCAGACACTATGTCAGAGGCTGCTCAGAGAAGGGACCCAGCAGACACTATATCAGAGGCTGCTCAGAGAAGACACCCAGCAGACACTATGTCAGAGGCTGTTCAGAGGAGACACCCAGCAGACACTATATCAGAGGCTGCTCAGAGAAGGGACCCAGCAGACACTATGTCAGAGGCTGCTCAGAGGAGACACCCAGCAGACACTATGTCAGAGGCTGCTCAGAGAAGGGACCCAGCAGACACTATATCAGAGGCTGCTCAGAGAAGGGACCCAGCAGACACTATGTCAGAGGCTGCTCAGAGAAGGGACCCAGCAGACACTATGTCAGAGGCTGCTCAGAGAAGGGACCCAGCAGACACTATGTCAGAGGCTGCTCAGAGGAGACACCCAGCAGACACTATGTCAGAGGCTGCTCAGAGAAGGGACCCAGCAGACACTATGTCAGAGGCTGCTCAGAGAAGGGACCCAGCAGACACTATGTCAGAGGCTGTTCAGAGGAGACACCCAGCAGACACTATGTCAGAGGCTGTTCAGAGGAGACACCCAGCAGACACTATGTCAGAGGCTGCTCAGAGAAGGGACCCAGCAGACACTATGTCAGAGGCTGCTCAGAGAAGACACCCAGCAGACACTATGTCAGAGGCTGCTCAGAGAAGGGACCCAGCAGACACTATGTCAGAGGCTGCTCAGAGAAGACACCCAGCAGACACTATGTCAGAGGCTGCTCAGAGGAGACACCCAGCAGACACTATGTCAGAGGCTGCTCAGAGAAGGGACCCAGCAGATACTATGTCAGAGGCTGCTCAGAGAAGGGACCCAGCAGACACTATGTCAGAGGCTGCTCAGAGAAGACACCCAGCAGACACTACGTCAGAGGCTGTTCAGAGGAGACACCCAGCAGACCCTATGTCAGAGGCTGCTCAGAGAAGAGACCTAGCAGACACTATGTCAGAGGCTGCTCAGAGAAGAGACCCAGAAGACACTATGTCAGAGGCTGCTCAGAGAAGGGACCCAGCAGACGCTATGTCAGAAGCTGCTCAGAGAAGAGACCCAGAAGACACTATGTCAGAGGTTGCTTAGAGAAGGGACCCAGCAGACGCTATGTCAGAGGCTGTTCAGAGGAGACACCCAGCAGACACCATGTCAGAGGCTGTTTAGAGAAGACACCCAGCAGACACTATGTCAGAGGCTGTTCAGAGGAGACACCCAGCAGACACTATGTCAGAGGCTGTTTAGAGAAGACACCCAGCAGACACTATGTCAGAGGCTGCTTAGGCAAGAGACCCAGCAGACACTATTTCAGAGGCTGTGTAGGGAAGACACGCAGCCGGAAGGGTTTGGTTATTGACAAGATAAAATGACCAACCTGTGTTTTTAGGATGCATTGTATGAAATCACCTTCCTTAGAAATGTTTGATAAAATATGCCATCTTTTATGCTGAGCAAAAGATATCAGACACAAATGAATACATATTGTGTGATTCCACTTATATGAAGTTTGAAAACCAGCAAAACCAATCTATAGGGACACAGAGCAATTGGTGGTTTTCTGGGGCTGAAAAATTACTGGTGAAGACTGACTGACAAGGGGCAAGAGGGAACTTCTAGAGTTACAGAAATGTTCTACACCTTGGGTACACCAACACATACATTTGTCAAAACACACTGTACTTGATCTTTAAAATGTAGGCCTTTTGTTGTATATAAATTATATACCTCTTAAGTTGATTTTAAAAAAAACTGTCTTTACTTAAATTTAGACTTTGAAACCCTTCAGAAAGTCCTAAAAATTCTGTACAATTAGTATTGAACACTAGGATACACATGGGCAACCAATCCTAGACAGCTCAGCACAGGACAAACAGAAAGGTCATCCTGCAACATGCAATCTAGATGACGAAGAAAGAGAACTCAAATGAGACACCTCAGAGACCTCTGTTCTCCAGTTCTGGCTCTGATTTTCATGAATTACAAAGTAAGGAAGATTCAGAGTTAATAGCATAGCCACAATGTAAAATATATTTAGTTTGTTGAATATTAACATTTTACCATAACTATAATGTACATTTAGTTTGTTGATCATTAATGTTTGTTTCCTGTATGAAAAAAATGTATGCATATATAATTCTCGTTCTACATCTAGGTTCATTCATTCTATCTACTAATCCTTTTATGGCCTTTTAAAAGCTGGTTAAGGAATTTATAAGATGACTGTCTAGACCAGAGGAACTCAACTGACAATGGAAGTGATGATTCTGGCAGCTAAGCTGGGTAGATCTTACTCTTTACAGACTGGTGTTTCAAAAGGTCTTGCTCCTGTCGAGGGGTGAGTTACTTCACCTCTAGTACAAGCCCAAGGTATCCTAAACCAAACAGCACTAACAGGGCCCACCCGTCTCTGGGCAGCAAAATATTTTTGTTTGTTGGTGTTGCTATTTTTGTTTATAAATGTGTCGATTTTGTCTAATCTGTAGACCATTCTTTACTGAACATGAGGAACAAGGCATCTTTCAGATGTAGCAGAGTTCAGTGCAAAAGCACTGAGCTGACTAATAATTTGGAGACTTGGGTTCCAATACTGGTTCATCATTAACCAGAGGCATTGCTTCAGGCAAGTCAAGGGACCTCTTTAGATCTAATCTATAAACTAGGGGAAAAAGAATAAATGAAATATAAGAAAAGATTCCTTTAGCTATAAAAGTTTATGATTCTATATGTCAAAACCACCAGAAAATCTTAGACCTCACCTGGAACTTTAAAGACCAGAGTTCCCTACGAAGGGATTCAGGACCCTTCAGGACACATATAAACTCACAACAATGGACCTCATATGCCTGGAGGCTTAATTGACCTAGGTTGTTGCAAACGACCAAGCTTCTTTCTCTTATAAGGCTGAATAGAATTTCATTGTATGTGTATAGACCATGTTTTATTTATCCAATCATCTGATGGTCACTTAAGTTGATACCGTAACTTGGCTATTGTGAACAGAGCTGCAATGAACACGGGAGTGCAGACATCTCTCTGGCATAGATATGGGTTTTGTGTCAATACACACAAGCGGGATTGCCAGGTCATATGGTAATTCTATTTTTAGTTTTTTGAGGAACCTCCATACAGTTTTCCATAAAAGTTGTACTAATTTACATTCCCAAGAACAGAGTACAAAAGTTCTCTTTTCTCCACATTCTCACCAAAACTTTTTAATCCCTTCTCTCTTTTTTTTTAAATAGCCATGTTGAGAGGTGTGAGGTGCTGTCTCATTGTGGTTTTAACTTGCATTTCCCTAATGATTAGTGATATTGAGTTTTTTCTTTTTACATATATTTGTAGGTAATTTGTATATCTTCTCCTGAAAAATGTTTATTCAGGTCCTATGCCCATTTTTTAAATTAGTCTTATTTGTTTTCTAGAGTTGTTTGAGTTCCGCATGCATTTTGGATATTAGCTTCTTATCAGATATATGGCTTGCAAATATTTTCTCCTAATTTGTAGGTTGTTTCTGTTGTTTCCTTTGTTATACAGAAGCTTTCATATTTCATGAAATCCCATTCATCTCTTTTTGCTTTTGTTGCCTGTGGTTGTAGAGTAAAATTGAAAATGTAATTGCCCAAACCAATTTCATGTAGTTTTCTCCCTATGTTTTTTTCTAGTAGTTTTACAGTTTCAGATTTTATGCTTAAGTCTTCGACCCATTTTGAGTTAATTTTTTCACATGATATGAGAAAAGGTTTCAATTTAATTCTTCTATATATAGATATCCAATTTTCTCAAAAACATTTATTAAAGATATCCATTTTATATTGTGTATTCTTGGCACACTTACGATCTTTTGTAATTTAGTTTTATAATTGATCCTTTGCAGAACCTGGAGAGGTGCTTGTGGTTTTGACTTGGCTGATTGCCTATTTAGAGTACAATTCAGTATGTTCTTCCAAACTCTGCTTCTGCTGCAAATTGTTAACTGAATCCAGAGGTTTATTTGACAAGACTATACCTGCTAGCATGTTCTCCCATCAGGAATCACATACTATCTAGTTGACTCTATCTCTTTTATGTTGGCAGTCTTTAATGCTCAATGCCTAGATCAGGGGTCAGTAAACTCCAGCCACTGGCCAAATTCTGACAATCAACTGTTTTATTTGTCCTATGAATGCAGCCAGACTCATTTATTTAATAATTATCTATGGATGCCTTATTGAAAATCAATTGTTCATACATGTGTTGGTTCCTTTCTTGGCTCTCTATCCTAATCCATTCATTGATTTGTCTGTTTTTCTTTTTTTGTTTGTTTTTTGATGTGTTTATTTTTATGGCAGCACTAAGCTGATGTAGTAGTATAGTTTGAAATGAGTAGTGTGATGCTTACAGCTTTGTTCTTTTTGCCCACGATTGCCTTGGCTATTCAAGGTTTTTTGCAATTCCATGTGAATTTTAGTTGTCTTTTTATTTCTGTGAAAATGGCATTGAAGTTTTGAAAGAGATTATATTGAATTTGCATATTGCTTTTGGTAGTATGTACATTTTAGCAATATTAATTCTTCCAATTCACAAGCATGGGATATCTTTTTCCATCTCTTCACTTTTAGTCTATATGTGATATATATATATATTTATTATACTTTAAGTTCTAGAGCACATGCGCACAACGTGCAGGTTTGTTACGCATGCCTATATGTGTTTTTAAAAGTAAGATGAGTATCTTGTAGGTAGCATATAACTGGGTCTTGTTTTTAATCCATTCAGCCACTCTGTCTTTTTATTGGAGCATTTACATTCAAGGTAATTATGAATGTTAAGGACTTACTACCTCCATTTTGTGAATTGGTTTCTGATTGTTTTGTAGATACTTTGTTTCCATCTTCCTTTCTTTCTGTCTTCTTTTGTGGCTTGATGATTTTCTTTAGTGGTATACTTTGAATTCTTTCTATTTTTGTTTTGTGTGTCTACTGTAGATTTTTGCTTTGTGATTAGTATGAAGCTTACATAAAACATTTTACAAGTGTAACAGTCTATTTTGACAGTTCATATAATTGTTATGCTATAACAGTTGTAGGTAGTCAAAGTCACACAACTCTCCACTGTTATCTCCCTGATATTTTATGTTTTTGATGTACGAATTTACATTTTATAATATCTATCCCTTGAAAATGTATTTAGCTAAGTTTTATTAATAATTTTGTCTTTTAACCCCCATACTAGGAATAAAATTGCCTTACACATCATCATTACAGTCCTAGAGCATTCCACATATGATTCTTTATTATGCCATTGAGTTTTGTGCATTTGTACATTTTCTGTTAATAATTATTGGCCTTTTATTTCAGCTTAAGAAACTCCCTTTAGCAATTCCTGTAAGGCAGGCCCAGTGATGATGACCTCCTTTGGCTTTGGTTTGTCTGGGAAAATTTTTATTTCTTCCTCATTTCACAAAGACGGATTTTCTGAGTAAAATATTCTTGGTTGGCTATTTTTATTTTCCTTCAACATTTTGAATCTATCATCCCATTATCTCCTGGCCTTCAGGGTTTCCATTGAAAAATCTGGTGAGAGTCTATTGAGACTATTCTAGGTGCTGTGTGGCTTTTTATCTCTTGCCACTCTCAGAATTTTTTCTTTGTCTTTTATTTGTGATAGTTTATTATGTGTCTTGGTAAACTCCTCTCTGGGTTGAATTTGACTGGAGACCTCTGTGCTTCCTATACCTTGATATTGGTATATATCCTCATATTAGGAAAATTCTCAGCCATTATTTTTTAAATATGCTTTCTTACCCTTTTTTGTCTTTCTTCTCTTTCTGGAATTTATATTATGTGTATATTCAGTCTCTTGAGGGTGGCACATATTTCTGCAGGCTTTCTTCATTCTTAAATTTATTTTTTTTAATTTTTGCTACTCTGATTGGATAATATCAAATGTTCTATCTTCCAGTTCACTGATTCTTCTTTTAGCTTGATCAAACCTGCTGTGGGAGCTTTCAGTTGCATCTTTTCAGTTCAGTCATTGTATTCTTCAACTCTTGAATTTCTGTTGGTTTTTAAGAATTATTTCTGTTTCATCGAAGTTCTCATTTTGTTCATGTATTGTTTTCCAAATTTCATTTAATTTTCTATCCCTATATTATTGTAGTTCATGATCTTCTTTAAGAGGATTTTTCTAAACTCATTGTCTGTCATTTTATAAATTGTCCTTTCCTTGGGGTGCATTGTTAAATCTATTTTAGTTGATTTTTCTTTTTAGAGGTGTCATGATTTCCTGAGTCTTTGTTACCCTTGTAAGGATGTTATCCTTCTATCCTTACATTAGTGTCTGCATATTTGAGGTGATAGCCACCTTTTCCAGTTTTTGCAGGTATTCTTTGGCAGGAATAATTGTCACAGTTTAGTGTAGCCTGTGGTTCTGAACACATCAGCTCATAACAACCCTGAATATGTAGAGCTTATTTGGGGGTTCTTTCATTGATGGTGTGCTGCCTTTTCTGTGAGTTTGAATGGGGCAGCTGGCTGGGATCTGCTACCCAAGCAAGAGCTCAGCAAGACCACTAAGCTGAACTCTCCAGTGAGGATGGACTGCTGGATGGGCACTGCAATTTGCCTCTGATTAGACTGGGCCATGAAGTGTAGTATTCTCTGGCCAGTTGGTACCTCAATTTAAAGTCAGCAGTTAAACAGGGTTGCAGAAAGCACTCTGAGGTTAGGTGGAGTCACTGACTAGGATGGATGGGACCAGCTACTATGCTCGGTAAAAATGCACAGTTGAGGTTTGCCTACCTGCTTAAGTGAGGTCTTGGGGTGGGCTTTGAGACTAGGCTGAGCATTATTTAAACTCCTGGGTGTGCTAGGTCAAGTCCTAGCTCTTTGCTGAAATTTGCTGCGGTGGTTGTCCCCTTCCTTGGGTGGGATATGTGTGTGGGCTTTGAGGCCATGCAAAGTACTATTTAAACACTCCTCGGTGTGGCCAGGCATGGTGGCTCACCCCTATAATCCCAGTACTTTGGAAAGCTGGGACAACAAGATTGCTTGAGCCCAGGAGTTAAAGACCAGGCTGGGCAACATAGTGGGACCCCGTGTTTACAAAAAGTTTAAAAATTAGCTAGGTGTGGTGGCATGCACCTGTAGTCCAAGCTGCTTGGGAGGCTGAGGCTGGAGGATCACTTGAGCCCAGGAAGTCGAAGCTACAGTGAGCTGTGATCACGCCACTGCACTCCAGCTGAGGTGACAGAGTGAGACCCTATCTCAAATGAAAGTGATAATAGTAATAAACTCCTGAGTGTGACAACACTAGCCCTGGATCTTTGCCAAAATTTGCTGTAGTGGTTATCTCCCTCCCTGGACATGTTCTCAGGGTAGGGTCTGAGGCTGGTCATCTAAGGATTCAAGCCAGGTAGAACTTCCCACCGCTTCTGAGGGTGACCAGCTCAGATTTGCAGGTGGGTATGGTGTTAGCTGGTACTATTGATTGGGTGCTACTGCTGGCAGGTGTGCAGAGCTACAGCCAGGATCTGTCTGCTTGTCACTGTGGACTCTGCCTCCTCGCTTTGCTTCTATCTCACCCAAGGTGGTCTAGCCATGCCATTTCCCCTCTGTTCCTCCTGAGGTGAGACCAGAGT
Organism: Homo sapiens; assembly: GCF_000001405.40. Classification (NCBI taxonomy): domain Eukaryota; kingdom Metazoa; phylum Chordata; class Mammalia; order Primates; family Hominidae; genus Homo; species Homo sapiens. Next base: position 192,737 of record NT_187543.1, read on the forward strand.
GGGCTTCCTGGGAAGCATCTCAGAATGCTAGGGAAGCTTCATGTCTGCCTCTGATTCTCCTTTTGCTCTGTAGGAACTGTAGTTTCTGGGGAATTCCATCTGCGAGGTGCTGTGCTGACTTAGGGGAGGAGGAGGAGTGACATGGTCAACATGGGATTGTTTTTCTTACCCTTTAATGTAGTGTTTATTCCTTTCTGGACCACACAGCTGACTCTGGCTTATTCCCACATGTTAGGGTTTTCACCAAGGTATTCTTGTCTGCAGGTGTTTGCTAGCTGAACTTTCTATGTGTGGCAGGCGGCAGGAGATGGTAGTGAAGCCAGGGTCCTCTTATTCTGCCATCTTGCTGACATCACTCCAAATCACAATTATCAATTTTGCTGAATGCAAGTTACAACTGTAAAAACATTTCCAGAATTTTGAGAGCACATAACATTATTAGACCATAAGTCTCTAACAGATTTAAGGACCATCCACAGTATTCCATAAGCAATAGATCAAAATGTCATTTTAGCAAAGTGGCATTTCCACGTGGGGTCGCCTATGTGTTTTCTTACTTTCTTCAACACTGTTGCAAAGTTTACCTACTAAATGAGGTTAGCTAGAATGAGTTCTTTTTTTAATGGAGTGGCAAACATAGTAGCTGTTTCTTCCATTATATTCTCTCATAACTCTTTGGGCCCTGGGGCCACAATTATTTGTGACATGTTTGGATTTATAGAATTGTACTCTTCATAATTTAACTGTCTCAGGGCACAAGCACAGAGAACGCAGTCAGGAAATAAACATAGTCTAAAAGATGAATTTGTGATCTGCTCTGAGGGTCAGTAAGCTAGCCCTCTGCCAAACCAAGGCAGGTAGAGAATTCCGTGATGAGGCCTGAAGAACCACATACTAGAAGAAATTTTGTACATTGTTACCTCGAAGATCCCAAATGACCCTAAATATTGCCTGTAATTCAGCACAAAATGACAAGTTTATGCTAATTTTTTAAAGAAAGCACATGCTTTAGAATACGTTTAGTGAATGTTTCTGCTCTCTTGGTATAAACAGAGTACTGAGTTTGAACACTGAACCAACCTAGTCATTAAGCATTTCAGCAGTACCTGCTATAAGTAACCGGTGAAATAACACTGACTGTACTAACATATGACATTTCAAGTGTATTTCAAGGTGTGGCTCTGCTTGAATGACGGGTGATTGCTCTTTTAACACTGTGGCATTTATTACTAACCTGTCAGAAAGCTGCTTAAATAAGAATGATTGGAGCAGCATGTCTAACACTCTGGCCTTAATATAAAAACAACTTGAAAATAGGCATTTCTCTTTTTGTATCCATCCTTCTAATTACAAGCCTAAAAAGGTGTTTTCCTTTCTTCAAAAATATTTATGGCATACCCACCTCTGTGCTGGTAGTTGGGAAACAGAGAAGAGTGAAACAGGCACCTCACTACCTAATGGGGTTATAGTCTGGCAGAGAAGACAGACATTTCAAAATCATCTTACAAACAAGTCATAATCTGTGATAAATGCTATGAAGGCAAAGAAAGTGCAGAAACAAAAATAAGGGGCGTAGTTTAGAGACGGATGGGGGAAACTGTTATGAAAGAGATCTTCGAGGAAGTGAGATCTGATAAGCAGTAGTTATTCAAGCAAAACTCAGGTGAGTCTCTTAGGCAGAGGGATCAGCATGTACAATACTCCTGGGTCAGACAAGAGCTTGTTCAAGAAACTGTAAAAAGGCCAGTGAAAGCAATGACAGCAACCTGAAGCTCGAAAGTAGAGTGGAAAGATGAAACAGACACCACCAGCAACGCTAATGATCTTTTACTTTATACTAATTATAAGGGGAAGTGTATTTGCTCTGCAACATCAATCAGCTCGCTTCCAGGCCTCCCTGTGAGAGCACTTGCGTTTCCGTTCCCTCTGGTCTGCTGTACCAGTTTTCTTCACTAGCTCATTCATTTACCAGTGGGCAACCATAGCAAAACTATCACAAACTGGGTGACTTAAACAACAGGAATTTATTCTGTCTCAGTTCTGGAGGTCAGAAGTCTGGAAGCAAGATGACAGCATGGTCGATTCCTACTTGGGGACTCAGAGAGAGGAGCCGTCTCACGCTTTCCTCCCAGCTTCTGGTGGTTGCCGCCAGTCCCTGGCATCCCCTGGCTTGTGGCGTTGTCAATCCAGCCTCTGCCTTCACGGTCGCATGGCTTCTCCTGGAGTGCCTCTGTCTCTGTGTACACGTTTCCCTCATAGAATACCACTGTGGGCTAGGGCTCACCCTAAGTCAGTATGAGCTCATGTTACCTTGATGATATCTGCAAAAATCCTATTTCCAAACAACGCCATAGTCAAGGTACCAGGGGTTAGGATTTAAACAAGTCTTTTTGAGGGATACAATTTAACCAATAACAGAAGGCTATTGAAGGATTTTTACCAAGGGAGTGATATCGAGGCAGGAAAACAGGGTCTGGAACTTAAGGCCAATTTGTGCTGAATCGAGGAAAAACACCAGGGTCTGGGGGCCAATTGGTGCTGACTTCTCAAAGCTGGATCAAAAGGAGGACACCTGGGTCTGGGGGTAGGGAACCTAAGGCCAATTAACACGAACTTCCTAAAACTAAACCAGAAGGGGAAATCCCATCTCCCCACGCCGAGCAGCAAAGGATCAAATCTCCCTACAGCCCTCCCGCTTCCAGCACATCTCAGATGGAAAGAGAGAGTGCCCTGATTGGCCAAGCATGGGCCACCCCTTCCTCTGCATAGGGCACCAATTCACCTCAGCCTTTAATTAGCCAGGAACCAAATCCTTCATCCAGACAAGAGGTAACTTATAGGAGCCTCAAAAGGGGTACTTAAAACCCGGAAAACTGGCTCCTTCCCCCGCCCTGTGGAGTGCTGTCTTGCTTCAGTGACTCCAGCTTTCACACCTTGTGGAGGGCTGTCTTGCTTCAGTGAATTCAGCTTTCGCTGCTTTGTTCTTGTGTCTCGTTCCTTTGTTGCTTTGTGGGTTTTGTCCAATTCTTTGTTCAAAACACCAAAGAACCTGGACAACTGACACTCAAGGCCCTCCTTCCAGTAACAATATGATCCTATTTTCACTTAACATCACTTTAGCTACTTGACAGAAAACGGATCGGAAAGAGTCAAAGAAGAAGGGTGAGATGGATTGAGAGGCTATTTTGGATTCCATTTTGGTAGACGTGTTCTGAAAAATTTTCGTCATATTTATAAATATTATATAAATAAATATTTCTAAATATTTAAAACATTTAGCAAGGCAAGAAATAATAATAATATAATTAACTTTAAAGGGCATAAAAATATTCACAGGCCAAAAAATAAAAAGAAGACTTAAACCCCGAACGGTGAGCTATCACTGCGGCTGTGGAGTGATCAGGCAGCAGCCTCTGGGCCTGAAGGCTTGCATTTTGCATGATACACAGGACAGGAGGAGAGGCATGATCTCAGCCCAAAGAGGAAGTTACAAATAAGGTCTCCAAATAAAGCCAGCGCCCACAACATTGATGTAAATGTTTATATACTTTCTATAGATTATATAGAAAGACATAAAAATATATCTCTCTATATATATCCATCCACTGGTTTAAAAAGATGACAAAAGGTGACCAAAAAATGTCATCCTTAGTTTGGACTCAAAGTGACAAAAATAGATGTTTTTCATGACAACATCTGTACAGTTGACACGCTCTGGAGTTGGGTTTAAAATCATACCACGCAGTAACTCCAGGAAAGTTCAAACCGAGAAACTATTTTACACAACCTTGAGTCAGGAATGCCCAAGAAACAAAAACACAAATTCTCTGCGGAAGGTGCACCCTCAACATAAACCTTGACAGATTCTTGCACGTAAAGTCCAAACACTTAAATGTGAGCTTAATCCAAAATATGTTTTTGAAAAAGCAAAATACAAGAGTTAACGGAAACAACCAACAGCAGAAAAAACCACCAAAGACTTTCAAGTATAAAAATATTGGATACAAATTATAAAATAAGTATTTTTAAATTATCCAAAAAAGAAATTGAAATTATGAACTAGAAACAAAATGCTATACCAAAGAAAACAGGCTATTTGAAAAAAGAACCAAAAAGAACCTCTCAAACAGAAAATGTAATCACTCAAATTAAAAATTCAGTAGGTAAGATAAACAAAAGATTAATGTAGCTAAGAAAATGACTTATACAGAAACTACTAGAATGAAGCTCAGAGACATAATGGAGATAATGAAATGCAAAATATGAAAGAAGGTGAAGATACAAAAAGATCAGCCCTCAAAGACACAACAGGTTCTGAAGAGTGGCCAGAAGGCGAGGATTGGCCAAGCGTGGTGGCTCGCACCTGTAATTCCAGCAGTTTGGGAGGCCAAGGCAAGTGGATTGCTTGAGCCCAGCAGTTCAAGACCAGCCCAGGCAACATAGCAAAACCCCATCTCTATAAAATTAAAAATTAAAAATGAAAAAAATAGGAGGTGAAGATAGGGAAATAAGAGAAACCAAACATTTCTAAGCAGATTAGATGAAAAGAAACCCACATCTGGGCACAAACTTCAACTTCGGGCCACCAAAATTAAAAAAAAAAAAGACCTTAAAAATAGCCAGAGTAAAAAGTTTACCTTCAGTGAAATAACCGTTATATGAAAAACAATTTTTTCCAACAGTATCAGTGGATCCAGAACAAAGCACTAGCCTAAAATTCTGACAGAAGATAGCATCCATCTCAAGATGTTTGCTCAGCAAACTATTGTGTCATAATTAGGACAAAATAAACACATTTTAGGCAAACAGAATCTATGTTTAATATAATCAGACTCTTGCTAAAAGAATTGCTAAAGGAAGGCCGGGCGCGGTGGCTCACGCCTGTAATCCCAGCACTTTGGGAGGCCGAGGTGGGTGGATCACGAGGTCAGGAGATCGAGACCATCTTGGCTAACACGGTGAAACCCCGTCTCTACCAAAAATACAAAAATTTAGCCGGGCGCGGTGGCGGGCGCCTGTGGTCCCAGCTACTCGGGAGGCTGAGGCAGGAGAATGGCGGGAACCCGGGAGGCGGAGCTTGCAGTGAGCCGAGATCGCGCCCCTGCACTCCAGCCTGGGCGACAGAGCGAGACTCCGTCTCAAAAAAAAAAAAAAAAAAAAAAAAAAAAAAAAAAAAGAATTGCTAATGGAAATACTTCAGATAGAGTAAAATGATTCCATAAAAAGGGTCTGGGATGAAAAAAGGAACAATAAACCAAGAAACTGGTATAAATGAAATAATAAAAACACTGTAAATATGTGGAGGCAGAATCTAAATAACACACAAAAATACAATGTAAAGCAGGTGGCAATTGATGAGAATTAAGATACAGCATTGCTAGGAAGGAGAACAGATTCATTTTGGATTTTATTAAGATTAAGAGCAGCCACAGAATGATTTAAAAAAGGGTTTATGGCTTCCAAACCAGTAGAGAGGGTAAAAATAATTTTAAAATCAAAATTCAGTCAAAAAGGAGAGAAAGAAAGAGAGAAACAGAGAAAGAAAGAAGGAAGGAAGGCAGGCAGGAAGGGAGAGAAAGAGGGAGAAAGAGGGAAGGAGGGAGAGAGGGAGGAGAGAAAGAAAGAAAGGGAAAAAGAAAGAAAAAAGGAAAGAAAAGGACAACATAGTAACAGGAGGAAAATGTAAAGCACAAAACTAGATGATGACAATAAATCCAACTCTAAAAGAAATCATACAAAATATGTGGATCAAAATCATCAATTTAAAAACAAAATTTTAGACATAGTCTTTAATTCAGTAGTAAATTATATATAAGTGACATATTTGAAACACACAAGCTCCCTCTCTCTTCCAAACAAACTAGATTAGATGATAAGAGGCAGGAAAGAGAATGAACCTTTGCTTATAACCTACTGTAATGTACCCCCTCGTAATTTAAATTATGTCTCAGAGTTAGATTTTATTATTTCCATATTACAGACAGGGGATTGGGGTGCAGTGCTTAACGGCTGTACCCAGAGTCACACTTGGTAGTAATTTGCAGAGCAAAGATCTGCAAAGACTGGCTCTTGTGGACATCACAACAGTGCCATGTGAAACAAAGTGGCTTTCAGACCAGGACAGTGGTACTGAGATATTCTTATGATGCCCAAGTCACAGGTGAAAAGGAAACAGAGCTAATCTCTGCTGATGGTCCCATTAACGGGTTCTCAGTGTTTTCTGTTTTCATTTCTTTGGGGCAGTGAACACCCAGACCACTGAATTCAGAAATCTTTATATTGTAAACCACTTTGTTCATTCTCTACTAAATTCACCTGGTCTGTATAATTTGAAAAGCTGCATATTTTATTCTTTTTGATCAATTGTTTTTATTCAAAATGTTTCTTATTCTTTTTGATCAATTGTTTTTATTCAAAATGTTTTACGTAAGGAGTTCAACGTTTTCGTAAGAATGAGCTACCCATGCAGGCATCTACCTGCTCACTGGTGGGAGAGTGAACATAAATATTGTCCAGGGAAATTGAGAAGAAGGCAGCTGACATGTTTCTGCTAAGAAGAAGCCATCTCTTTCTTTCCATCTCTCTCTCTTCCTAAGAAAGGCAGATCAGGCCTAAAGCCCTAGCAGGTTAGCCGTGTTTCTTCTAGAAGTCAGGCCTACGATGGAGCGGTAGAAGCCAAAGGCAAGAGGAAAGAACTGGAACAGAGCTGGGCGCAGGGTGGCTAAGTCCACAACGTAAAAAGTTGAGGTCGTGTGATGTTTTTATTTCAATAGCTGACACCCTGCATTTTAAATAAGGCTTAACTTTTTAGGTACAAATTGTTAACCTAATACATTTTAATCTTTTTAAGATGATGCATAGTTTGATCTTGTACATATAAAATTTTACTTTTTGCCTGTCTCTAACTCGCTGACTAGCGGTTCTTCACCCTCTCCATATGTGTGTGTCCACGCACCTGTCTGTGAGTAGATACACGGAGAGAAACAATAAGATGTCTGACATGACGTTCACCTAATTTAATAATCAGAATTTCTAAGTAGTAGATTTTAGTTGGTATCTGTTTTCACTTTCACTTTGTTTTTTTTTTTTGAGCCGGAGTCTCGCTGTGTCGCCCAGGCTGGAGTGCAGTGGTGCCATCTCGGCTCACTGCAAGCTCCGCCTCCCGGGTTCACGCCATTCTCCTGCCTGGAGAATTCTCCTGCTGGGACCACAGGTGCACGCCACTGCCCCGGGCTAATTTTTTGTATATTTAGTAGACATGGGGTTTCATCGTGTTTGCCAGGATGGTCTCAATCTCCTGACCTCGTGATCCACCTGCCTCGGCCTCCCAAAGTGCTGGAATTACAGGTGTGAGCCACCGCACCCAAATGAAAATGCACCTTAATAAAATTTTAAAAAATAATTCATGCTTATTGTAGAACATTTAGAAAATGTTAAAAAGTATAAAAGAGCAAAATAGGTATCACGGCTAATTCTATGACTGTTAACATTTTAGTGAGTTTTCATTACAATCAACTTGAATGTTCAATTTGGACTCCTACTTTTTTTACATAATGTGTTTTTCTGTGTCTTTAATTATTTGGAGGCATGGAGAATGGGACTATATTCCAGGAGTCCGGAGAGTGAGGAATGATGGTGATCTGGGACTCTGGTTGTGGGAGTAGAAATGAAAGTCAATGAAGAAACTTGAGAAATATTTAGAGATAAGATTGACAGAACACAGTGATGGACTTGATGTGTATTTGAAATAACTTTACGTGTTTTATTTCCACAAATGTAAAGGTCTCATAATTTTGTCATAAATCACGCACAAAGAACACAAGGGCAACAATATCTTCACTGGAGACACATGCAAATTTCTTACAAAGTCAGCGTTTTAAATTGTGAATTCATGTGCCAACATATTTACTTAAAGGGTATAAAGAACCATGTTATGGGTATTATATTTTCTAATAATTTTACTCAACACTCTGAATGTGCATAGTCTATCCTAAAGATCAGGTAGAAATGACGGGATCTGAAATGATACAGGAGAAAAAGTCTTGGCTCTTAACCAGAGACTTTTATGGCATATTTCTATCTTTACTACATAACAGTGAAGTCTATTAAAAGTCCAAAACTGAAGCAAATTCACCTTTTTATAATGCTTCAATAATTGTGTTTTGAGGGTCTTTGCTACATACTTGAAATATATTTTCAAAGCTATCTGACTGATTTATGAAGAAATACACATGTGTTTTGTGCTTCACAAAAGCACATTTGGATATTATTAAACAGAAAAGATAAAATATTACATAGGTCTGAAGAATTAATTTTAAAATGTTTCTTTAAGATAAACAGTGTATCAACTATATCTTAAATGTCATCACTTTGGATGACCAACTAAGCAGATTTACAGACAACCGCATGGCTAAACAGGAATTATTTTGGTCTCTTTGTCATAAACTATTATGTCCAAAGACAGCAGCAGCATCTCCATCGACCCTGCAGTGGGAAATCTGCCCTGTCACAGTGGAATCTCCACGGGCAACAAGGGAAAGAATATACTTCACACTATGCATAATTCCTCAAAAGTTTTCTCATTTTGAGATTGGCTCAAAAACGATGTGCTAAATAAAATTCTAGCCATCACAGGTAAGGAAGAAGGAACTGTCAGCATTCCATCCTACGGGCTGTAATTCAGAGCTGCTGTACAAGTCACACGCTGTTCTTATCAGAAATCTGCTTTCTTAGCTTTTCTTTACACATTCCAACCTATCTTCACATATGCTGAGATTTCTGTGAGGAAGGGAGCACTCTAACATAAAATTATTGGTTGCTATTTTATGACTTGTCAGGTCTATGGCATTCAGAAATGCAGGCATGCATGCTGTGTGTCTTACCTGGCCAAGGCCCAAGTCAGCCAGACATGTGTCCCTGGGAATGGCCCCTCTGCTGATTGGCATTTGTCTGCAGGATGGATGCAGCCACCCCAAGACCTTCTGAATTCTCAAGGTTCCTTGAAGAACTGCAGGGAACTTTGCTTCTTTGATTACTGAAACTGGAAGATGCAGCAAACTCTTCCCAGGACAAAGAGCTGGAATAGAAAGGCAACCATGGCACTCACTGGCAACACTGTCTCCCCATGTGAAGGTCATTGGAGGTCAAGCTCCAGTAAACCCATCCAATAAACCTATTTCATGGAGGATTCATTCATTCATTAATTCTATAAATATTTCCTGAGGTTCTACTGTGTGCCAAGCACTATTCCCCACATCAGGACAGAATAGCCAACGAAAGAGTCAAAAACACCTTTGCTCGGAGCCTACATTTCCCATTTTGGAAGGCTTCTTGGGCCAAAAGAACCCAGAGAGAAGGACTCCATCCCTTCTCCTGCAGCACCAGAGAAGACCCTGCTGCACTCTACAATGGTCAAGTCCAGGAAAGAAAATTCAAGCTCCTGGTTATAAATGATAACTAACAACAAAGACTACAGCAACTGAGATGTTATGTTCCTTCTGCAAAGCTGAATTTCTCTAGTCTTAGTAAACATAAAGCTGCACTTTTCTTAGAAAAGCCAAGGGGAAATCAGAGGATGAATAATCGGAACCCTTGGAGTGAAGTGTAAGCCATCCGATATTTGGCTTATGTTTCACTGTCTGTTTCTTAAGAGGAGTTACCTTGTGTTCATTACCTTAGAGAAGAGAAAGACAGACAGAAAAAGAAAACTGTCACAGATGCTGGGAAAGTAAGCACTTGTATTAGTAACAGAAAACCACAGTAACGTGAGGAGTCACTCTCAGAAAGACTTTAAATCCTCTCTCACTCTCCAGCACATAGGAGGCCTAGGGATCTTTAGAGAAATCAGGGAGAAGGATAGATAATATCTCAGCACCATGACTCTCCCAGGAACATAAGATAGAATGTGAGGCAGGGGCCCCATCTTTCACCAGTTTCTACTCATTGGTAAGAAAACAAGGCTTGCTTTCTTATTTAAAGAACAAATCCTGTATCCACCATCTGAATTATTCTTGGCATCTGATGAGGGATGGAGACTACAGAGGCAAATTTGAAAGAAGAAATATTTTATTTTACAAGCTTGATTTGAATATAAGCCTTAAATTTATGTTGACCAAATCCAAGAATAAGATTATACAACCAAAACATAGCAAGGGGCAGGGGAAGTTTTGAGTTTTTTTCCTAATTACAAAGCCTACTAGGAGACTAATAATGGGGAAAACTTTCTCATGGAGCTGAATCCTGCAAAACCTAGTGATAAAGAACAAGAAAATAAGAATTGCAGTTTATTTCCATTCTCTTTTTCTTTCGTTATTTTATCTTTCTTAACCTATAATATATATGATTTTGCTTGTTCTAAAAGTGAGCTCACTAAAAGTGAGCCTTCGTTTTATGACAATTGTAGCCCAGATATATCTATTGGGAAATTTTTTATATGAATGCAGTGTCTATATCTATATAATATTCATTTTTGTAGTCTGTAGATCTGAATGGGTGACTAAATTAATGTTATGAACGGCTCACTTGAAATAACAAAGAGATAATTCCTTAATATATAAGCACAAAAATTAAAATCAATTTGCAATCTTGATCAAAGATATCAATAGTCACAAACAAGGCTGATTAAGAAAGCAACGTGAACATTCTGTAACTTGATCACAACCCATAATGAGTGTTGTCCAGAGGAGAGCCTTTTAGCAATTCACAAGGCCCTGTGTGCCTAACAGTTAATTCCTGCTTAGCCAGATTGTGCAGATTCATTCTCAGGCACAACATATAAAATGCTGGGAAATACCCCGATTTTTGGCTGCAGAACTGCAATTGAGCCATGAGGAAGACAGTCTCCGAGAAGACATAGGAGGGCACAGCTCTCCCATGAGGAAGACAGCCTCAGAGGAGACATAGGAGGGCACAGCTCTCCCATGAGGAAGACAGCCTCAGAGAAGACATAGGAGGGCACAGCTCTCTCATGAGGTAGACAGCCTCAGAGGAGACATAGGAGAGCACAGCTCTCCCACGAGGAAGACAGCCTCAGAGAAGACATAGGAGGGCACAGCTCTCTCATGAGGTAGACAGCCTCAGAGGAGATATAGGAGGGCACAGCTCTCCCATGAGGAAGACAGCCTCAGAGGAGACATAGGAGGGCACAGCTCTCTCATGAGGAAGACAGCCTCCGAGGAGACATAGGAGGGCACAGCTCTCCCATGAGGAAGACAGCCTCAGAGGAGACATAGGAGGGCACAGCTCTCCCATGAGGAAGAGAGCCTCAGAGAAGACATAAGAGGGCACAGCTCTCCCATGAGGAAGACAGCCTCAGAGGAGACATAAGAGGGCACAGCTCTCCCATGAGGAAGAGAGCCTCAGAGAAGACATAGGAGGGCACAGCTCTCCCATGAGGAAGAGAGCCTCAGAGAAGACATAGGAGGGCACAGCTCTCTCATAAGGAAGACAGCCTCAGAGGAGGCGTAGGAGGGCACAGCTTTCCCATGAGGAAGACAGCCTCAGAGGAGACATAGGAGGGCACAGCTTTCCCATGGCAAAGGGCTCAAGAAGACCTGGACTCTGCTGTGAAGAAGGAAATTGTCCCAGAAAGTCCAGAGCAAGAGTCCTCCCAAATTCTTTATCAGCTCATCCTAAGAGCTCACTGGATGGCTTCACGGGGGTCATTAATTCTTCTCCTCACTCAGGAGCTCTAGTCCACAAGTATCCAGTTTCACACACAGCTGCAAGACACTCCATTCTAGGGCCACAGTCCAGGATGCAGTCTTCACAGATTTTTTGATCAAATGGATCAAGAGTAGAGGGTCTGTCCATGAATAATAAAACATAGGGAGGAAATAAGACACATAGAATGGAATTCTCTCTTTGGGTTGAGAATATATATACCCAATAATTCTTTTTTTATTCCTTTGTAGGGGAAGAAAGGTTTCTTTTCCTCACCCATCACTAGGACTATGGCCGATGCCCCTGTAACAAAGTACAGATTGAGAGAAAAGTGTACACATGTATTTAAAAAGCTTTATGTGGCACAGGAGTCTTCATAAGAAAATGACCCAAAGAAACAGGAAATCTTGTGTATCATAGTGCTTAGTTAGGTTGGATGAACAGTGGACTCAGGTATTGGTACAATTGGACAGAGTGAGTATGCTCTCATGGAGATAAACTGGGGGAACTTAGCAAGGCCTGTGTGTTCAAATTCTTCTCTGTGTCCCTGTGTCTTCAGAGATAAGGATGTTTCTTTCTTCTGGGTATAAGGACTCTTCCTCTCAAATGAGGTCTTATGATCTGCTCCTGGGGGGTCAGAGAGTGACCTGCCTGCATCTGCTTCTTCTCAAATGCCACTTGTGATGCCCTTCCTGGGAGACAAAGCCATCTTTGAGTATTTCAGGATTCCAAAATAGACTCCATTCCTTGGATTTACCAAAAGCACCAGCCTAAAGGGCCTGTCAGGAAGTTCACCAGAAAGAGAAACCTATTTCCCTGTAAGGGAAGTGGCTGGATGGTCCCGCCCCAGATTCTCTGATGTGGACCTCACTTGGGATGCAACCCTGGTACAGCTCCTCCATCTCAGTCATTAGAAGTAAGTTCATTGAAAATGGTCTTCTGATACAGTCATTGCTGAATTGCAGTTTCAACTAATTATACCCCTCAGAATCTCCTTGAATTCTAACAACTAAGTAACTAAATGTCTACTAAGTACCTATAATTGTGCTGTCAAGAGTAATAAGTGAGGCCAGGCACGGTGGCTCTCGCCTGTAATCCTGGCACTCTGGGAGGCCAAGGCGAGTGGATCACTTGAGGTCAGGAGTTTGAGACCAGCCTGGCCAACATGGTGAAACGCTGTCTCTACTAAAATTACAAAAATTAGCTGGGCGTGGTGGAGGGTGCCTGTAGTCCCAGCTGTTAGGGAGGCTGAGGCAGGAGAATCACTTGCACCCAGGAGGCGGAGGTTGCAGTGAGCCAAGATTGCGCCATTGCACCCCAGCCTGGGCGACAGAGCGAGACTCTGTGTCATTTAAAAAAAAAAAAAGAGTAATAAGTGAATAATATGCAACATTATTCTTTCTACAGCTTCATATGCGTTGCATTTACACATGTTCTTATGTTTTTTATGAGACTTATATAGTGTGCAATGTGTATTTTCAACAGTGAAACTAAAAACTTCTCATGTGTCTTTCTTCTTTGGCCTTAAAAATTATTTTTTATGCTAACTAAATCATCTACATTATTACTCTGTGCTAACTAACATAAATAAACTAGTACACTATTCTCATTTACCCAACTTTTTTATACCGTTCCTACCAACAGTTCCAAATATAAGCTGTATTCATCATCAGTTAGTTCTAAAGAGTTTAGGTGCTCCCCCAATGTGCTCCTACAGCACCCTGAACCTCCTGCGTATGAGCTTTGATCATCCTGTATTGAAATGAGAAAATCCTGCATTTCCACTTTGTGCTAACCCCAGCATACCACGTCTGCAGAGTAGAGACTGTGTGTATCTTACTCATCCTTGAAGTTGCAGTGCCTGGGACCCCAGCATACCACGTCTGCAGAGTAGAGACCGTGTGTATCTTACTCACCCTTGTAGTCGCAGTGCCTGGGACCCCAGCATAACACATCTGCAGAGTAGGGACTGTGTGTATCTTACTCATTTGCAGTCACAGTGCCTGGGACCCCAGCATAACACATCTGCAGAGTAGGGACTGTGTGTATCTTACTCATCTGCAGTCGCAGTGCCTGGGACCCCAGCATAACACGTCTGCAGAGTAGGGAGTGTGTATCTTACTCATCCTTGCAGTCGCAGTGCCTGGGATAGGTGCTCAGTTGCTGAATGGCCACAGCCCGTGTGTTCTTTCTGTAGTGTGTGTCTCATTCAGAGGCTCAGCTGCAGACACAGGCTGAACTTTACACAAACTTCTTTCCCACCAGTCTGTTTCAAAGGAGCTCAACCATGCCCCAACATACTTTGACCCTTTTCAGTATCAATTTTCAACTGCTGTTTTCTACTCCTTGAAAGCATAACAAATAAAAGAACTTTTCTTTTTCAGTAAATTCTGAAACATAATTACCTTACCAGTCATGCCAAGTGAATCTCATTAAGCTCTTTTGATTAAGATAATGCTAATTCATAAAAGAAAGTATCCTAAATTTAACAAACAGGAAAAATCAGGGACTTGTCTAATTCAACTCACAAAATTGAGCCACGTTTCTTTTACCATGAACATGGTGAAAGGGATTCAACTAACTAAATAAAAGAAAACAAAAGGTAAGGTTAAGTAATAGCATATTACATTTGGGGATGAAGGAGAGTCTCTAATGCTGTAACAGAGGGATTACTTTTGAACTTATTTTCCCCGTCTTTATTACTGACTTTGTAGAGGAGTAAATTGCATATTTTTTTTCTTTTTTTGAGACAGTCTCATTCTGTTGCCCAGGCTGGAGTGCAATGGCACGATCTCAGCTCACTGTAGCCTCCGTCTCCTGGGTTCAAGAGATTTTCCTGCCTCAGCCTCCTGAGTAGCTGGGACTATAGGCATGCACCACCACACCTGGCTAATTTTTGTATTTTCAGTAGAGACAGTGTGTCACCATCTTGGCCAGGCTGGTCTCCAACTCCTGGCCTCAAGTGATCCACCTGTCTCAGCCTCCCAAATCGTTGAGATTACAGGGGAAGCTGAGATAGCAAATTTGTTAAGGCTTTTGGAGTTGTTGTTGGATTCTGTAGGAGTAATATCACAAAGGGTGCCCATGTAGAAGGAGCCCCTTTACTCACAGCATTTATCATGACCTGGGTAACAGGCCTATTCAGCTGGGGAATATCCCAGTCATCATAAAGTCAGCCCCACACGGCTCACATACAAAGCATATCGGCTGGGTCATCTGGGGTGCTCCGACACACAAAGCATATCAGCTGGGTCATCTGGGGTGCCCCAACATACAAAGCATATCAGCTGGGTCATCTAGGGTGCTCTGCTTGGCATTTATAGGTGGAGTTGGACCATCTGCTTATCACGGAAAACAGACCTTCCTGTGGCTTTTCTCTAGTCCACTCGTCTGGCTGTTCCTGCATGAATAACCTCCTGTGTGTCTGGATCACATATACCCATCTGTGGTTGTTCAATAGTGAGTGTGGGTCCTGCACCAGCCCAAACAACTCTTCCACTCTGCAGCATTTAAAACCAGAGACGCTGCTCCTAAATTAGTCACTCTCGATCTGTTTTAGTAAAAGTTCCTCGAGAAGTTAATGATATCAATGTTCAAAATGGAGCAGTTCCTTCACAGGACACCCTCTGGTTTCAACAGTAGTTGGATTTTCCCTTCTCCCACATTCACTGCCTTCTTGGTGACCACAGTTCTGAAGGTACTTTCTGGTGTCCAGGCTTAATGTTCCCCTTTCTGGGTGGCTTTGAGGCTGGTGGCCTGAGTTGAGACAGACCCACATCTGAGTTTATTCCAGCCTCAAGGCCTTACCCAGCACCGTCTTTAACTTTCATTTTAGCCATTATAGATAACAATAACCAAGGGACTGAATCTTTTGCTTTTTTCTTGTTAGTTTGCATTTCCTTATGCATCCAGTGAACTAATTCCTGGGAGGTTGGATCCATCTCTAAATTCGGCTGATAACTTTTACCTTTAGTAACTGATCTCAACATAGCTGCAGCTTCATACCATGAGTGACCACGTGGCCACCTGGGAATCGAAGATTCTTCATCCTCCCACCCTTTAATCCTTTCTCTTTTCAAAGCACATGCTTCCATCAGTCAGGGCCATTTAAGCAAATCCCACTTCACTGACAATTATGTAGGGAAAAACTCTCTCAAACCTTGTTTTTTTTCCCTCTACTCTCACACCACAAAAATCATCAGCACAGAAGAAGACTTCTATGACCAAATGTATGGGGGTCTTTTCCCCATGCATCAAGCGCAGACACAAGTTTGGTGTCCTCGAATTCAGTTCTGACACTGTCTACCCTGAGATAGCATCAGGTCCCATAGATTGGGGGCTCAGTACCCAAGATTCTCCCCAGACTCCCAGACACGAGTTGCAAGTCTGGGCTTCCAGAACATCTGACTGACTGGCTTCAGGTTGAAGTTCCCATGATCCCCGCATTGAGTTTGATTAATTTGCTGGAACAGCTCATAGAACTCAGAGAAACACGTTTACCAGCTTATCACAAAAGATGCTACAACAGATACAGGTGAAAAGACACATAAGGCACGGTATGGGGGATGTGGCATGGCACTTCCTCACCTCCCTGGACACTACCCTCCTCTACGAACCTCCACGTGTTCAGCTAACCAGAAGCTTTGGTGCCATTTTCAAATGCCATAGCCTCACTTTGTGTCTGTGTCACATTTTGGTAATTCTAGCAATATTTCAAAATGTATTAGTATACTTGTTATGGTGCTCCGTGATCAGTGACCTTTGACGTTACTGCTATGTTCTGGGGCACCATGAGCTGCAACCATGTACGATGGCATACTTAATTGATACATACTGTATGGACTCTGACTGCCTCACCAACCCGCTGTTTTCCCATCTCTCTTCCTCTCCTTGGGCCTCCCTATTTTCTGAGACTCAACAATATGAAAATTAGGCCAATTAATAATCCTACAAGCCAAATAATAATCCTACAGTGGCCTATAACTGTTCGTGTAAAAGGAAGAGTCTCATGCATTTCTCACTTAAAATCTAACGCTAGAAATGATTAAGCTTAGTGAGGAAGGCATGTCAAAACATGAGACGGGCTGAAAGCTAGGCCTCTTGGATGAAACAGCCAAACTGTGAATGCAAAGGCAAAGTTCTTGAAGGATGTTAATCCAGTGAGCACACCATGCTAAGAAAGTGAAACAGCATTACTGTTGGTATGTGGAGTTTAATGGTCTGGATAGAAGGCCCAACCAGCCAGAACATTCCTTTATGCCAAATCCTAATTCAGAGGAAGGCCCTGACTCTCTTCGGTTCCTTAAAGGCTGAGAGAAGTGTGGACGCTGCAGAAGAAAAGTTTGAAGCTAGCAGAGATTGGTTCATGAGGTTTAAGGAAAGAAGTGCTCTTCATAGCATAACAGTGCAAGGTGAAGCAAGAAGTGTGATGGAGAAGCTGCAGCAAGTTACCCAGAAGATCTAGCTGAGATCACTGATGAAGGTAGCCACACTACACAATAGACTTTCAGTGTAGATAAAACAGCCTTCTCTACTGGAGGTACATGTCATCTAGGACTTTCACAGTTAGAGAGAAGAAGTCAATGCCTGGCTTCAAAATTTCAAAGGACAGGCTGAGTCTCATGACGGGTTAATGCATCTGGCAACTTTCAGTTAAAGCCAATGTGCCCTTACCATTCTGAAAATTCCAGGGCCCTTAAAACTTACGCTAAACCTACTCTGCCTGTGCTCTACAAATGGAACAACAAAGCCTGAATGACAGCACGTCTATTTATACTATGGTTTACTCAATATTTTAAGCTCACTGTTGATACCTACTGCTCAGAGAAAAAGTTTTCTTTCAAAATATTAGTACTCCATGACACCTAAGAGCTCTGATGGGGATATACAAGGAAATCAACTTTGTTTCCATGCCTGCTAATACAAGATCATTCTGAAGCTCAGGGATGAAGGAGTAATTTCAACTTCCAAGTCTTATTCTTTAAGAAATACATTTCATAGGGTTATCGCTGTCATATAATTCCTCTGATGGATTTGGGCAAAGTAAACTAAAAACCTTATGGAAGGTATTCACCATTCTAGATGCCATTGAGAACATTCATGATTCATGGGAGGGGGGCAAAATATCAACATTGACAGGAGTTTGTAAGAAGTTGATTAAAATTGTCATGGATAACTTTAAGGAATTCAAGACTTCAGTGGAAGAAATAACTGCAGATGTGGTAGAAAGAGCAAGAGCAAAAGAACTAGAATTAGAAGTGGAGCCTGAAGATGTGACTGAATTCCTGCATCTCATGATCAAACTTGATGAAATGAGGACTTGCTTTTTATGGATGAGCAAAAAGAAAAGTGGTGTTTTTTTTTTGGGAGGGATGAAATCTCCTCCTGGTGAAGATACTATGAACATTGTTGAAACAGCAATAAAGGACTTGGAATATTCAATAAACTTAGTTGATCAAGAAGCAGCAGGCTTTGAGAGGATGGACTCTAATTCTGAAAGAAGTTTCACTGTGGGTAAAATGCTATTAAACAGCATCACATGCCACAGAGAAATTTTTCATCAAAGGAAGGGTCAATTGATGTAGCACACTTCACTGTCGTCTTATTTTAAGAAATTGCTGGCCAGGCGCCATTTCTGATGCCTGTAATTCCACAACTTTAGGAGGCTGAGGCTGGTGGATCACCTGAGGTCAGGAGTTTGAGACCAACCTGGCTGACATGGTGAAACCCCGTCTCTACTAGAAATACAAAAATTAGCCAGGCATGGTGTTGGGTGCCTATAATCCCAGCTACTTGGAAGGCTGAGGCAAGAGAAATCACTTGAACCCTGGAGGCAGAGGTTTCAGTGAGCCGAGATCCTGCCACTGCACTCCAGCCTGGGAAACAGACTGAGACTCCATCTCAAAAAAAAAAAAAAAAAGAAATTGTCACAGGCACTCCAACCTTCAGTGCCCACCACCCTGATCTGTTGGCAGCAATCAACATAGAGGCAGGACCCCCATCATCAAAAAGATTACAACTTGCTGAAGGCTCAGATGATCAATAGCATTTTTATCAATAAATTATTTTAAATTAAGGCATGTACATTGGTATTTTCAGACATATTGAAATTGTACTCTTAATAGACTACAATATAGTGTTCACATGACTTTCATGCATTGCAAAACCAAAAAATATGTGTGGCTCACTTTATTGCAGTGTAGTCTGGAACCGAACTCACAATATTTCCAACGTGTGTCTGTAAATAGGACAGAGATACAGTGAGTCGTTAATGGTCAAGAAACCCAGAAACCTGATGAGAGTAAACTAGCCTCAAGACTGAGGAAAAACTTTCCAGAAGAATTTGGGCCTGTTATTGTCCTCATTCATGCATGCAATACTAACCTGCATGCCTACTTATGCCAAGAACTATTTTAAGAGATAGAGATTCAGCAATTAACAAAACAGTCTCTGCTCTCATGGAGCTTGCATAGGGCAAAGTGGGAGCAACCAGTGAAGAAATTTGAAAATGTGTATACAAGATAGGTCAGATGATAAGAAGTGCTTTAAAGAAGAATAAAGTAAAATAAGAGAATAGAGAGTAAGAAGGTGCCATTTTAAGTGAAATGGTCAGAAAAGATTCTTCTTATGACAGAGTAATAATTAATAATTAAGCAAAGGCCTGGATAAGAGAGGAAGTAAGCCATGCTGATTCCTGATGAGAAAGCATTCCAGGCAAAGGGGACCACACATGCAAAGGCCCTGAGGCAGAAGCACATCTGCCTGGTGTCTTTGAAGATTGCAATAATAGAGGGGAGACTGATGGGACTAGAGATCAGAGAAGTGTCAGGGGACAAGATGGTTTAAGACATTCCTAGCCATGGAAGGTTTTAAGCAGATGAAAATATTATTTGCCTTATGCTTTAAAAAGACTTACTCTGGATCACCTGAGGTCAGGGGTTCGAGACCAGCCTGGCCAACATGGCAAAACCCCGTCTCTATTAAAAATACAAAAATTAGCCAGGCTTGGTGATGCATGCCTGTAGTCCCAGCTACTTGGGAGGCTGAGGCAGGAGAATCGCTTGAACCCAGGAGGTAGAGGTTGTAGTGAGCCCAGATTGCACCACTGCACTCCAGCCTGGGTGACAGAGGAGACTCTGTCTCAAAAAACAAAAATAAATACTTACTCTGGTTGCTCAGTGAAGAACAAAGTGCAGGGAGAAAGAGAAAGTGGGAGAGGAGTTAGGAGGCTATTTTGATAATCCATGAAAGCAATGACGTAAAGTGAAGCAGGGTGTACACAATGGGTGTGGCAAGGGAAGCTCAGATTCTGAATACAGTTCAACAGTGTATGCTGATATGAAGTGCAAGAAACAAAGAAGGGTCAGGGCAAGTTTTCTGGCCTAACGGCTGGTATGCTGGAGGTGCTATTTACTGAGACGGAGAAGACTGAGGAGTGTTGGGCCCAGGGGTTGAAGGTGGAGGATCAAGAATTCCCTTATGGATGTGTGATAGTTGTCTATTAGTCTTCCAAGTGGTGATAACTGGCAGATAATTAGATATGAGTCTAAATTTTAGAGGAGAGGTAGGAGCTGGAAATATGTATTCATGGACCGTGCACACACACATGGAATTTAATGCCATTGGGCTTCATGAGATCACAGAGGCATGAGTGCACCTAGAAAAACGGTTGAGAACTGAGACCCGGGATACTCCCTTGTTAAAAGGTAAATGTTCCTTTTACATTTTGAACTTATAGAAATAATGACACAGTAGCCAGCCAGTTGCTGAAACTCTACTCAGTTCAGAGTAAAACAAAATTCCTATTTTATCGAATCACTGAATGCCATTTAAAATTCAGAATACTTGCAGAGATCCCAAATATCTTAATAAAGATGAATGCCTAAGTTCAGATTGGTGGCCTAGACTCTGCCTTCCCTGATTGTCTATTTAAAAATAACAATAATGATAATAATAAGAAGAAAATATTTATGGATCACTAGATATGTTGAAATACACTCAAAGGTAGATTCATTTCTTTTCTACTATACCCTTGTAACTATCAGTCTATAAAATAGTTTTATTAGAAAGTCACAGTCACCCTCAAGCCAATAGCAGCTTATAAATACAGGGCAAGGAGCCTGGTGTGGGGAGGCTGAGAAATAATTGAGAGAGCCAGTAGATATGAAGCTAACAAATAACACTGTCAACCAGAATTAGGCAGATAAGCCAGAGGCAGTGCAAGTGGCGGGTCAAGACAAGTAGACAGACAGAAGCCAGGAGTGAGAGACGGGAGGTCCAAAGTGCAATAAAACACTCAAGAACCAGTCAATCCATGGGAGCTTACAGCTGGAGGGGCGGCTGAAGGGAGGAGCATCCAGGTAGAGGGGAAGGAATGGTGGTATGAACAGGAGGCAGGAGGGCTCAAGCTATTTGATATGTTTGAGAGTGAGGTGCTTTTTTGAGGCTGAGAAAATAACTGGAAGCCAGAATCTGGAGGACTGGGTAGACCATGTTAAACAGCAAGCACTTGATTCTGCATGTGTTGGAAGCCAGTGCAGGGCTTCTAAGCAAGGCAGTGACATGATCACATCACATTTTAGGAAGGTTACAAATTAGGCATGGCCACAGGCAGGAAGACCTGAGGGATCTCTTACAGTCAGGGATAAGAGTCTAACCAACAAGGTGGCCATGAACATTCAAAGAAAGAAGACCGAAGAGACTTTAGAAGGCAGCCTCCACGGGACCTGACTGAAGGGGTTTGGGAGACTCACAGCTTTCTGCTGTGAAGTCAAGGATATCACAAACTATTGGAATAAAAGAAACAGTCCTAGGGCTGGGGGTAGGTAGGTGAATGCAGTTCCTTTTTGAACGGAGGAGAAAATTCAGGTAATTCATTTTGATTGATCAAGCAAAATAATTTGAAGCTGAACATTATAGAAGCAACAACAATTCTTATGATGTTGGGGTATAGGAAACAGGCCCAAGAAAGCACAGTATTTCCTGTTTCTCTTCTGATTCAATAAATAATAAGAATATTTTCTGTTAAAGTTTTTGATAACGTGTTGTTTTAATTAATCAAAAGGAGACAAGATACATTTGAACTTAAAAGCATAAGAAAATCAGTTGTCTTTTTAGAAAAGGTGAGTCAGCATGGGTAGGAAGAATCAATATCGTGAAAATGGCCACACTACCCAAGGTAAATTATAGATTCAATGCCATCCCCATCAAGCTACCAATGATTTTCTTCACAGAATTGGAAAAAACTACTTTAAAGTTCATATGGAACCAAAAAAGAGCCCGCATTGCCAAGTCAATCCTAAGCCAAAAGAACAAAGCTGGAGGCATCATGCTACCTGACGTCAAACTATACTACAAGGCTACAGTAAGCAAAACAGCATGGTACTGGTACCAAAACAGAGATATAGACCAATGGAACAGAACAGAGCCCTCAGAAATAATGCCGCATATCTACAACTATCTGATCTTTCACAAACTGACAAAAACAAGAAATGGGGAAAGGATTCCCTATTTAATAAATGGTGCTGGGAAAACTGGCTAGCCATATGTAGAAAGCTGAAACTGGATCCCTTCCTTACACCTTACACAAAAATTAATTCAAGATGGATTAAAGACTTACATGTTAGACCTAAAACCATAAAAACCCTAGAAGAAAACCTAGGCAATACCATTCAGGACATAGGCATGGACAAGGACTTCATGTCTAAAACACCAAAAGCAATGGCAAGAAAAGACAAAATTGACAAATGGGATCTAATTAAACTAAAGAGCTTCTGCACAGCAAAAGAAACCACCATCAGAGTGAACAGGCAACCTACAGAATGGGAGAAAATTTTTGCAACCTACTCATCTGACAAAGGGCTAATATCCAGAATCTACAATGAACTCAAACAAATTTACAAGAAAAAAACAAACAACCCCATCAAAAAGTGGGCAAAGGATATGAACAGATACTTCTGAAAAGAAGACATTTATGCAGCCAAAAAACACATGAAAAAATCCTCATCATCACTGGCCATCAGAGAAATGCAAATCAAAACCACAGTGAGATACCATC
Source organism: Homo sapiens (assembly GCF_000001405.40). Taxonomy (NCBI): domain Eukaryota; kingdom Metazoa; phylum Chordata; class Mammalia; order Primates; family Hominidae; genus Homo; species Homo sapiens. Next base: position 215,454 of record NT_187543.1, read on the forward strand.
TCACACCAGTTAGAATGGTGATCATTAAAAAGTCAGGAAACAACAGGTGCTGGAGAGGATGTGGAGAAAGAGGAACACTTTTACACTGTTGGTGGGACTGTAAACTAGTTCAACCATTGTGGAAGTCAGTGTGGCAATTCCTAAGGGATCTAGAACTAGAAATACCATTTTACTCAGCCATCCCATTACTGGGTATATACCCAAAGGATTATAAATCATGCTGCTATAAAGACACATGCACACGTATGTTTATTGCGGCACTATTCACAATAGCAAAGACCTGGAACCAACCCAAATGTCCAACAATGATAGACTGGATTAAGAAAATGTGGCACATATACACCATGAAATACTATGCAGCCATAAAAAAGGATGAGTTGATGTCCTTTGTAGGGACATGGATGAAGCTGGAAACTATCATTCTCAGCAAACTATCACAAGGACAAAAAACCAAACACTGCATGTTCTCACTCATAGGTGGGAATTGAACAATGAGAACACATGGACACAGGAAAGGGAACATCACACTCCGGGGACTGTTGTGGGGTGGGGGGAGGGGGGAGGATAGCATTAGGAGATATACCTAATGCTAAATGACCAGTTAATGGGTGCAGCACACCAACATGGCACATGTATACATATGTAACAAACCTGCACGTTGTGCACATGTACCCTAAAACTTAAAGTATAATAATAATAAAAAAAAGAAAATAATAAGACTAAAGTCAAACTGTCCATTAAAATTTATATAATTCAATTTTGAGATTTTCTTAGTATATAATTTACATACATGACATACATGTGGATGTTTGGAGGTATATCCACATACATTCACCCATTTATTCTTTTATTTATTAATTTGTTTATTTGCTCATTAAAAAAATACTAAGTGATTACTCCAGGGATTGGGGTCTAAACATGTATAAGCCTTGGGGCCTCTCCTTAAAATCCACTGAGGCAAAGATGGGCAAATAAGTGGCTATAATGTATCCTGAAAAAAAAAGGAAAAGGAGAGTCAGTATTTCCTATGGTCTGAAATCATCTTTCAAATAATGGGATGTGAGACAAATGAGATGCTACTTATCTAGCCCTTTCCTTGATAGATTAAAAACGATATCAAAATCTTACTACATTGCAAAGACAGTAATTCACTCAGTTGAGAATCCACAGTATACAAACATATAAATCAAGGGAATTTTAAAAACAATCATTGTGTTCAAAATGGGAAGAGTATTTCAAATTTTTTCTACATATTTCAGAATAATTTCACAGTTAAAAACCCTGTACTTTATGAAATCATTATCCAGTATTTAATAAAGTATATCTATGACAATATCAACGTTGGAATTTAACAGTTTACAAAGCACTTTTGATACATCACATTTAAATGAAGGCGGCAACGAGTTCAGTACATTCACGCAGATTAGAAAACAGTTTTTGAAGATTGCATTTGTTCATGTAAGTCAGAAGGTTTGAACTATTTCCTACCCCTGCTATAGGTTTAAACCTAAGAATTGTTATTCATTACGATTTGGTCTTTAAATAAATCACGAAGGTAGAGGGTAGAGCACACCCCTTCAATGCACTGAGGTGCCGTAAGGCTCCAACGCCAGAGGCGGCCGGTTGGAATTTAGTTCAATCACGCGTTTGTTATGAAAACTCTGACAAGCTTCAGCTCTAAAGTAAGCTTGGAAACACAAAGAAACTCTGAGAAAAATACCAAACACACACACACAAACACACACACACACACTCACTCCTCTCTTTTTAGCTGGGCATAGAAAATGTAAGTGTACCAACAAGCAACCTCCAAAGAGCAAATGACACAGAAAATTCAAACGAGCGCCTGGTAGGAGTTGTAACTTCAACAAAGTGCCTCTCATATCTGCCTCATAAACCCGTACTCATTTTTCACAACTAACTCACATAGCACCTCCTCAGTGACACCTTTCCTGTTCTGCCCACCAGATATACCTGCGGACCAAGCGTAGTCTCTCACCCAGAACACAGGGCACCTTATACAGGGGGCTCTGTCTACAGGGGGCTCTATGCTTTGACAGGAACTGTGGACCTATGGGCAGCGGTTTTTCAAATCATGTTTGTGGCTCTCATTACAATTGTCCTGCCTCAGGCACCCAGCAGGCGGTAATAAATGCTGGTTGAACACTAAAACCTTGGAATGCTACATCATTGTTCTAAAGGATAGTCATTTTTTAAAACATTTTGGAAGTTCTTTTGAAACTGACTTTTTAGATTATGAAAATATCTCAGTGATAGGTTTTGGTTTTCCAAGTTAGACCTTATTTTATTTTAGAAACTGTCAAAAGTTATACAAAACCAAGCATGTATCTCTGTGCGTTTTGTTTTCTCTTCTCCCTTACTGCTAAGGAAGGGTTTCTTCTCTTTTCTAGGCCAAATGCTCCACAAATGAATGTGTTAACAAATGAACAAATTAATAAATGACACGAATGGGAGCTCAAACTGCATAAAAGTATATTTACTCAAAAATGGGAGGTGACGATTGCTAACATGTCATAACCAGACTCTGTCATGACCTCGGCAAGCCACAACATTGACAATAAAGAGGAAAGAGGATCAAGTCCCTAAATACCCAGGTGAACTAAGACCTTCCCACGTGCCCGAAGAAGATACACTTGCAGAGGAGAAATGATGATGCAGGGGCCTGCTCCGAGATGCAGGAGGAAGTTTAATTGCCTGTGAATTTCACTGGGAAGGAAGGGATGAAACGAGGTTTGAAAGGAAATAGAGATTGTTAAACTCCTGACTAGGCGATAACTGCCGTCCTTCTCTTCTATCTGCCCCTGTGACTAGGCGGTAACTGCCGTCCTTCTCTAATATCTGCCCCTGTGACCAGGCGATAACTGCCGTCCTTCTCTAATATCTGCCCCTGTGACTAGGCGATAACTGCCGTCCTTCTCTTCCATCTGCCCCTGTGACTAGGCGATAACTGCCGTCCTTCTCTTCCATCTGCCCCTGTGACTAGGCGATAACTGCCGTCCTTCTCTAATATCTGCCCCTGTGACTAGGCGATAACTGCCATCCTTCTCTTCCATCTGCCCCTGTGACTAGGCGATAACTGCCGTCCTTCTCTGCTGTCTGCCCCTACCTTGGGCCCCAAATGGCTCAGCACTAAAGTGCCTTGAGCAGGCTCCAGCCCAAAGGTGGCCTCCATGGTTACCACTTCCCACTCTGCTGCCCTGCCTCGCTTTCCTCCTCGGCCTTCCCGGATGGATGACCGATGTCATTCCCAGGTTCCCTAACACTCAAGCCTAGCCCCTCAGTTTCTAGCAAGCATCAAGCTTCACTGTGTGTCTAGCCTCTCAGGAGTCAGACCTGAGAAGTATAGCTTGGTGGAAATTCAGTGGCAGGGAAGAAAGAAGGAAGGAAAGAAGACTCTGAGCTGGATTCATACACATCATCGCAATTCATCCACACCACAGTCCTGTAAGGTATGTGCCATTGTACTCAGAAAACTGAGGCTCAAAGAGATTGAGCAACTTATCTAAGCCTTCGCAGGTCCTGAGAGCAGAGCTTGGATTTTAAACACCTGGGAGACTCTGAAATCCATGTTAGCTCTTCTATACATGAGCCCAAAACGCAGCTGTACACCAAGACTGACTTCCTCTTACAGCTTATCACTAGCTCTGAATACAAGAGTCCTCAAAATGCTTTATAAGCAACAGTAGCATCATGGGAATAAGTTGGCAAGTTCCCAGCATTACTGCTTTAGAGGCACTTGAACTTTTTCTCCATGTATAGAGTCAAGAATAAGAAAAAGGATCCAAAGGAGAAGGAGAGAAATAAAACGGGACTGAGCCTTATACTTCTTGACCCAGAACAGACAATGGTGGGATTTTCCTTACTTTTTTTCCAGGCAAATCCAATAAAGACGTCTGTTTCTGTTACCTAAAACCAACTTGAAAAGTTTGCTCCCTCCCACCTTAAGTGTCTTTGAATAGAGCCCACAGTTGAACATTGGTTCCTACGGCAAAGATTCATTTCAAAGTGTTTATAGTATTATTCGAAGCACGTTTGATTTCAGCCTGGGCAACCATGGCAGAATGTCAGCAATGCTCCCCGTATTAGCTGTCGGAGAGAAAACACTGTGAAACCCAAACACCTTGGTTATTGGGCCAATGAAACATTTATGCCCTGATCAGATGGAGCAAAGCTTCGGCAGGGTTAGTGAGCCACCTTCCAAGTGTACCAATGAAGCTCTTGCCTGCTGTTTCAGATAAATGACTTTCATTTCACTGTTGGCTTGTGCTTGAGAAGGTTATTCAATTGATTCCAGTTGTTTGCAATGCCTTGAAGGCAAGTAATGTTGTAGCATCCACTGTCCTCATAACACACTGTTTCTTTTCTAAGGAAGGTTGTTGTCATAATACCCTAGATATCCACAGAAAATATTCTACTTCTTATCATATATTAATTTTGCTCTGGAATAAGTAAATGTAACTACCAGAATGCTAATGAGGATGTTACACTGTTGTTTATTTGTGTGTTCTAATCTGTAGATAAACAGCAAGATCTCTTTTATTTCATGATTCCAAGTCTCAGGCCACAGCAGGACAAGTATCAAAACATCTATTCTCAATTCGGAGTTGAGATTTCTAATAAGAATTCTATTTTCTCCATAATCATAAAATAGCACCAGGAAAAGTCAATATCTATCTTAAAATACAGACCATTGAAAAGTAGATCTTTCTGCCCTTAACATAAACAAACTGTAAAATCTGAAGTTAAAATTATTCCTTGTACCAGCCTCCTAATTTACCCAGAGTTAACAGAAAAGTTATAGCAGTGCAGGAAGCTCTGAGGCTTTGATGGGTGTAGATATAGACATACAAACCTATCATTTCACACTAGTCAGAATACCAGTCATAGAAATCCCCGCAGGGAAAAATCTGAAGGTATCTGGTCTTATGGACTGTATAATTAAACTTTCTTATCATTGTACCTAAACCAAAATATGCTTCCTATACAAAGAAGGTTTCTTTCAAGAGTTAAGACTGCCTCCTGCCATCCTCCTTAACACACACACACACACATGCACACACACACACACACACACACACAGAGAGAGAGAGAGAGAATTGAGAGCATTAGTCCTTTTCTCCCTTAGACTGATTTTTTCTTACTGTTATTTTCAGCCACTTTGTTAACGGTGGGGTTAAAGGGCAGGATAGATGTAACACCCATTTCACATACATATTGCAACATCAGAGATGCTGGTTTTCATTAAAAACACCAGATCTAAATTCCTTCTAAAATATATTTTAAAAAATCAGTACACTTGGCACCTTGGAAATGCTGAAATGTTATCATGAATGCTCGTTATTTGTTATGAGTCAATTGAATATTATCTTCAATATAAACTATAATTTACTGGTCTGATAGCTCTTCCTATCTTACCTGTATATACTCAAAGGGAGCGATTTCTCATGTTTAGCAAATTGTTCTTTAGGTAATTTGTTCTTTAGGTTTTTTGTACAAAAGTACAAAATAGTTATCACAGCAAACTTTCCAGTATTTGTTATTTTGAAGCTATATGGTTTTTTTTTTTTTTTTTGCCATGTCAGGCTTGAGCAGGATAGCAAATATATAAATTGAGCTCTCTAATTATAATCTCAATATATGAATTCTTGCTAATTAAAATACTTTGCACCAGCAAAAACAATTTTCATGTATGTGTTTAGGAGGTAGTTAAGTAACTCTATATAAAAATAAGTGCACTTTCCCCTCCTTTCTTCAGTGACTAGAAAACGTCCATATTTTTAAAATAATCAAATAATAATTTTAGAGAGCAACAGCCCTCAACTCTTTGCTGGTGCTTATCACACTGCCTTTCTTCACTCCATTCTTAGCTCTGCTAGTTTCTTCTTGTCTGTAATGATAATAAGGGAATGTGGGTGGGTCAGCACTTCTGTGTAGGTCCCCTTTCCAAATTTACCTTCCAAAAAGCCAACCAAATAAACAACCAAAAAATTGTGCAACAAAACACAAATAGCGTTCCAATAGCAAGTGATGCATTCACCTGAGATTAAGTGGTTTTAGGTGGTCAGTAACAAAATGCTGCTTTGCTGTCATAGTAGAAAGGCAACAAATTCTTCAAAGAAACCAAGAAGGTTACAACCTTGACAAAGTCTCTCATTACCTTCCTCCTCTTGTGTCTTTTTTCTCCACATTATCTGTTGCGTATCTACTATAGAAGGCTGCAAAACATACAGCAGAAAGGATGGCTTGAAGGCAATTGATGTTTGTAAAAAAATCCACAACAGGATCCAAGCTGAAGAGGTGAACACGTCAGCCTGGTGGGACAATTCTCAGCATGTGCAAACATAGGTAAATTCTAGCCTATGTTACATTAAAAACAATGTCAGTGCATTTTTTCATGTTAAAGTTTTTTTCAAAGCTAAAGTGTGTTCCTTGTTGTGCTGACCACAAACGAGTTTTAAGAGTTTTGAAAGTCTGGCAAAAATAGAAAAAAAAAAAAAGCTGTAGTGACATTGAACTGCTCAATGTAAGCATTGGGCATGCACAAATTTTCAAAACAAAGGAAGGAAATCATCCCTCTTACAACATGGTTAGGCTGATCTTTAAGAAATAAAATGTAAGAAATTAGAAAAGCAAATGTTTGGCACCTACATATCCAATATCTGGCACCGTGCAGAGTAGAAGAGTGAAAGAAATAACGAAGAACAAAGTGGTTACTTTGCTTCAGGAGTTCATGATCTGTAGTTAGAAACCAATATAAACATTGTGAGTATATTTCAAAGAAAGAGAAAAGCAGGCCGGGCATGGTGGCTTGCACCTGTAGTAATAACGCTTTGGGAGGCCAAGGTGGGAAAATTGCTTGAGCTCATGAGTTTGATACCAGCCTGAGAAATATAGTAAAACCTCATCTCTATAAAAAAAATTAATTAAAAAAAAGGCAGAGCAAAAACAAATATGAAAGAAAACATTAGAAATCAGAGCTTGGGCAAAGAGTTAAATGTGAGCAAAGCATCTCTGCCTTGGGGGGCCTCTGGAGCATCCCGGCTTCCTGTAGAGGCCCCACCACATGGCCCTTTCCCATCACTGGGAACTGTCTTCTGTATCGTGCCAGGATTTTCCCCCAAACTTCTCAACCTAATTTATTCAGCCAAAACATATATATTTCTTGAATCCTTGCTAAGAGCAAGGCACTGTTCTACATAATGAAAATATGGCAATGATATAAAACAAAAATATTTACCCTCAGGCAAATTACATTCCAGTGAGAAAAGACAGATCATTAATAAAATAAATATGTAAAATATAGAATATGCCAGAAGGTAATAAGTGGTACAGAGAAAAATTAAGCATGGAAGGGAGCTCAGGAATGCTGGGAGTGGGTAGATGTGAAGGTAGTTAGAATGCTCAAGGAGGGAGTAATAGGCAGAAGAATGGCCTTTCTACATGTCCATATCCCTATATGGCAAAAAGGACTTGTGGATGTGATGAAGTTATGGATCATGAGATGAGGAGATTATTCTGGATTACCCAGGTTGGCTCAATGTCATCACAAGAGTACTTAAAAGCAAAAGAGGGAGGCAGGAGAGTCCGAGGCAAGAGGCGTGACAGCTAGGGTCAGAATGACGTGGTGGCTGCCTGGAAGGGGGCCAGGAGCCAAGGGATGCAGGCATCCTCTCAAAGCTGCAGAAGGTAAGAAAGTGGTCTCTCTCCCCTAGAGAGAGTGTGTGTTCTCTTAGCCTACTAGAGGTGTGTTAATTTATTCCTGCAGTCATAGAAAACATATAGAAGGTCTCACTGAGAAGACAACATTTGAACAAAGATTCCAAGGAGGCGAGGGCACCAGCTATGCAGATATCTGGGGAAGAGCACTCGAGGAAGAAAAGGCAGGCAAACAGCAGGGTGCACACCTAGCCCAGGTGCATGAAGTAGAGAACACTGGGAGTCAGAAGGCTAACAGGAGACAAGTCAGAGAGAGGGACTGGGGTGGGTCAACTCACACTCAGCCTCACTGGCTACTGTAAGAACTTCAAGTTATTCTGAGACACTCAGTATAGGAGAGTCTATGAATATTTATAGAAATTCTGAATGTTTACAAGACGAATAAAAGTGGTATGCTAGTAAACTTATTGGTTGGGTGGGGAGAAGCCCAGATTTGTAGCATTTGCTGATTTCCATTGTGTAAATATTTCTACTGATGGTTTGACAAACACTTCATAAAATTCCTGGGTACTTAATTATCAGCTCCAGTAGAGCACTGCATGTATGACATCCCATTTGCCAATTCCACACTAGATTCTGTTGGGGACAAGCTGTATGAGAGTCAACTAGCAACAGAAATAAGGAAGTCCTCAATAAAAATCAGCATTTACTTTTGACAGATGTGAGATTCTGGAATGTATTTCTCTTTACTTGCTCTGCCTGGTGATTAAATTATGATTTTAAAAGAAATAGTTTTAATTCCTTATCAGAATGCTGCCACCAAATAAATAAAATACGTACTTTAACTATATGCAATCTTGTCTATATTATACTGTTGTCAACGGAAACATTATCAGGGGCCAGCTTCATGAAAGGAGATATGTGATAGAAGCTGGAGTTGTTGGAGTGAAAAAAAAAGTCAAATTTTACTTTGGATTAATCAGAGGGAAGAAAGCAGACAGATAGGAAAGGAAAGGCAGGCTTAGCCAAGTTGAAGAAAGAGGCTGAACTCAGGAGGCAGTGGGAGAATAGGATCATAGTTTGAAGAGAGCTGCAAGGCTGTTTAGTCCAGGTGAGGATCATAATCCCAGAAGACCCAGTCACAAACACCATAACCCTGAATGTTGAAATCCTGAAAGATCAAAATTCCTAAGGTCTAAATTCATTTCTTTTTAGTAGAGATGGAGTGAATTAGTTCATTCTTGTGCTCCCAATAAAGACATACATGAGCCTGGGTAATTTATAAAAGAAAGAGGTTTAATTGACTCACAGTTTGGCATGGCTGGGAAGGCTTCAGAAAACTTACAATCATGGTGAATGCAAACAAGAAGCAAGGCACTTTTTCACAAGGCAGCAGGAGGTGCTGAGCAAAAGGGGAAAAGCCCCTTGTAAAACCTTCAGGTATTGCTCACTGTCATGAGAACAGCATGGGGGTAACCACCCCCCTGATTCAATTACCTCCGACTGGGTTCCTCCCACAACATGTAGGGATTATGGAAACTAAAATTCAAGGTGAGATTTGGTTGGCAACACAGCCAAACCATATCATTCTGCCCCCAGCCCCTTCCAAATCTCATGTCCTTACATTTTAAAACATGATCATGCCTTTCTAACAGTCCCCCAAAGTCTTAGCTCATTCCAGCATTAACCCAAATGTCCAAGTCCAAATTCTTATCTTAGACAAGGCAAGGCCCTTCTGCCTATGAGCCTGTAAAATCAAAATCAAGTTAGTTACTTCATAGATACAATGAGGGTATAGGCATTGGGTAAATACACCTGTTCCAGATGGGAGAAATTGGCCCAAAATGAAGGGACTGCAGGCCCCATGCAAGTCCAAAATTCAATGGGTCAGTCAAATCTTGAAGCTCTGAAATGATTTCCTTTGACTTCATGTCTCACATCCAGGTCACGCCGAAGCAAGAGTTGGGCTCTCATGGCCTTGGGCAACAGGGGTGCCTGTTGATTTGCAGGGTACAGCCCTTCTCCTGGCTGCTTTCACAGGCTGGTGCTGAGTGTCTGTGGCTTTTCCAGGCATACGGTGCAAGCTGTCAGTGGATCAACCATTCTGGAGTCTGGAGGATGGTGGCCGTCTTCTCTCAGCTCCACTAGGCAGTGCCCCAGTGGGGATGGTGTGGGGGCCCACATTTCCCTTCTGCACACATTGCCCTAGCAGAGGTTCCCCATGAGGGCTCTGTCCCCGTCACAAATTTGTGCCTGAACACCCAGGCATTTCCATGCATCCTCTGAAATTTAGGCGTAGATTCTCAAACCTCAATTCTTGACTTCTGTGCACCCACAGGCCCAACACCTCGTGTAAGCTGCCAAGGCTTGGGGCTTGTACCCTCTGAAGCCATGGCCTGAGTTGTACATTGGCCCTTTAGCCATGATTGGGACACACGGCACCAAGTCCTGAGACTGCACAGAGCAGCAAGGCCCTGCACCGGGCCCATGAAACCATTTTTTCCTCCTAGGCCTCCTGTCCTGTGATGCCTTGAGCTACTGTGAAGGTCTCTGACATACCCTGAAGACATTTTCCCATTGTCTTGGTGATTAACATTCAGCTCCTCGTTACTTATGCAAATTTCTACAGCTGGCTTGAATTTCTCTCCAGAAAATGGGTTTTCCTTTTCTGTCTCATCATCAAGCTGCAAAATTTTTTAAACCTTTATGCTCTGCTTCCTCTTGAACACTTTGCTACTTAGGAATTTCTTCTGCCAGATACCCTAAATCATCTATCTCAAGTTCATAGTTCCACAGACTTCTAGGGCAGGGGCAAAATGCCGTCAGTCTCTTTGCATAGTAAGAGTCACCTTTACTACAGTTCCCAAAAAGTTCTTCATCTCCATATGAGACCACCTCAGCCTGGACTTCATTGTCCATGTCACTATCAGCATTTTCCTCAAAACCAATCTGCAAGGCTCTAGGAAGTTCCAAACTTCCTCACATTTTTCTGTCTTCTTTCAAACCCTCCAAACTGTTCAAACTCTGCCTGTTACCCAGTTCCAAATTCACTTCCACATTTTTAGGTATCCTTATAGCAACACCCCACTACCTCAGTGCCAATTTACTGTATCAGTCCATTCTCATGCTGCTAATAAAGACATACCCAAGCTGGGTAATTTATAAAGGAAAGAGGTTTAACTGACTCACAGTTCATCATGGCTGGGGAGGCCTCAGGAAACTTACAAGCATGGCAGAATGCAAAGGAGAAGCAAGTCACCTTCTTCACAAGGCGGCAGGAAGGAGAAGTGCAAGCAAAGGGGGAAAAGCTCCTCATAAAACCATCAGATCTTGTGAGAACTCACTCACTATCATGAGAACAGCATGGGGGTAACTGCCTCCATGATTCAATTACCTCCCACTGGGTCCCCATCATGATATGTGAGGATTATGGGAACTACAATTCAAGATGAGATTTGGTTGGGGACACAGCCAAACCATATCATGGGGTCTCACTTTATTGCCCTGGCTGATTTCAAACTCCTGGGCTCAAGTGACCCTCCTGACTTGGCCTGCCAAAGTGTTGGGAATACAGACATGAGCTACCATGCCCAGTCCTAAAGTCTAAATTCTTAACATCTAAAATCCAGAAAATCACAATCACAGGAGAGTTGTACCACGTTAGTTGCATCATGTTAGGTACAACTCTTGCTTTGTTTTCTTCTTATTTGGAAATTATGTATGGTTTAAGGGGGTCCATATGGGTGCCAAATCTACAAGGGGTGGACTTGCAGACTTAATTTCAGGTGTCAACTTGACTGGATTAAGGAATCCCTGGAAAGCTGGGAAAGTATTATTTTGGGTATGTCTGTGATGGTTTTCTCAGAAGAGATCAGTGTGTGGGTCTGAGCGGACTAGGTGGGGAAGATCTGCTGTCAATGTTTTGAATGTCTTGAATATCACAGAAGTGAAAATGAAAGTAAAAAATGCACAAAATCTTGTCTGCCAAATTATGTAATCATGTACCAAGCACCTCTACACGTAGCACCATGCTTGTCTTCACAAAATGCCTTTTGTCAGATAATAAAAAGAGTTCAACAAATTCAGTGGCCTTCTGAACCAGACACCTGCTGGCACAGAGCTTCCTCCAGTGCTACAAGACATATTAAATCATGAACTATTCTTGATTAGGGATTTGACTGTCAAAAAAGATAAACATATTTATTTACCACTAAGTCTAACATAACAAAACTGGTGCATTTTTCACTTTGGCTGATGAATGGCACTTTCAAAACTGTCCCCAGTGGGTTTTTATAATCAACTTTATACAGTTTATGCCCCCAATGAATTACAAAATTCTATAATTTAATCTTCATGTTTATGGTTTAATAACTGGAAAAAGTGAAGTACTTTATAAAAGCTTATTTGAAGATTTGGAGGGCTTTGCAGAAGAAAATAGATTTCAATCAGATCCCCAAATTATAATGACAAGTTTTTAATTAGGTGTGATCAAGGCTTCTAAAAGTGAATTGCAAGTTGTTACCAGTAAAGTTTGTATCTTCCATTCAGCCCAGTTCATTTGCCAGAAAATTCAGGTGAGTGGATTGGCCAGGCCATATGGCAATGATGAAAATTTTAGTTTTAAAATGTGCCATTTGTCTGTATTGGCATTCCTTCCACCTGATAAAACTCCAGGAGCTTTTGATAAATTAAAACCACAATTGCCTGAAGAAGCCAGAAAAATTACATACTAGTTTGAAAATAATGATGTGCAAGGTGGGATAAGAAGTCATTCAGGCAACGGTGTTGCTGTTCAATCAAGAGTATTGTTTCTGCCAAATGAGTGGCCTGTATATGAGGGCCTGCAAAATGGATTTCCACATACTCAAAACAATAGACAAGAATGGCATAGAAGATTGGAAAATATAATAGGAAATGCTCATGTCAGTGTGTATCAAATTATAGAATTTCAAAAAGAGCAGTGCCACATAGAAAATGAATGTGAACATATTTTATGAGGAGAGTCAAATCCTAAAAACAAAAAAGGCATCATGATGAAAGACTTCAAAATACAGTTAATGATAATGAGAGTCAGCCAGCTATTATGAACTCTGCAATTGCCCATAATCTATCCATGTAATATACTTTTTATATGTCAATTTTCGTTTTAGTTGTTTCTTTTTCCATTTTTTCCACTATTTTAAATTGTCAGCATTTTTTACAACTTGGTATGCTATGTATTTCATCTTAGTATCATTTCCAATACTGGAGGTATAAATTTTGCAAAGACTTTTAGAGAGTTCTAATTTGTTTTATGCTTTTATTTTTGCAAATTTGACTCCACAAGAGTGCATTATCACAACACTGACTTTGTGTGTAAGCATTGTACCTGTACATAAAAACATTAAAGCTTCCTCAATAAATGAGAAGATATCCTTTTTGCACATTTGTATTTGGGAAAGAGAAAATTTCTCAAGATCTCAGCTCTTTGACTGCATATTAGATGGTGACCCATCCCAGCTTTTGATGAATCTGGTCAAAAGACTTAGGTTGTCTGTCACAGTATTCCAGATGACCTAAGTTATAAAGCTGAGTGCACCCAGTTACCAACCATGCTTTTATACATTTTGCTTTTTGACCCATTTCTTTACGAGTACAACTCATCTGCTCATTACTGTTATACCCATAAGACGCTCTTTAGCATACCTGAGTTTTATGCTTGCAAATATATGTATGTTATTATTGCCTATTGATTGTGTAAAGTAGCCTAGGAAGTGTTCTGTTGTGTTTTTATACGTTTATCAAATAAATTCCATCTTAAAAATATAAATAAATGCTTTTTTGTTGTTTTTAGACAGAGTCTCACTGTGTCACCCAGGCTGGAGTGCAGTGGTGCGATCTCAGCTCACTGTAACCTCCACCTCCTGGGTTCAAGTGAATCTCCTGCCTCAGCCTCCCAAGTAGCTGGGACTACAGGCACCCATCACGATGCCTGGCTAATTTTTTGTATTTTTAGTAAAGATGGGGTTTCACCGTGTTGGCCAGGATGGTCTCGATCTCCTGACTTTTTGATCCACCCGCTTTGGCCTCCAAAAGTGCTGGGATTAAAGGTGTGAGCCACCACGTCCTGCCCAATAAATGCTTTTTAAAGAATGTGTTAATAATTTTTTTCCAGAATTGTATTTTCAGAATTTTGTTTTTTGAGGATTGTAATTTTCAGGATTTTAGACTGTACAGATTTAGATCTTTTGGGACTTCAACATTTGGGATTATGACGTTCAGGATTGTGTCTTCCTGGGCTGTGACCCAAACCCATGTGGTCCAACGCTATTTCACATGAGAGGAAAGCAAACCACGTGCACAGATGCAATGAAGGCTTAAATAGGCGTCATGTATTGATTATATCCCTGGAAAACATGATTAAGATGATACGTAGCGACTTTTTTTTTCCCCAGTGAAAAAGATCCACATTCTTTTTCTTGTGTGGAACTAAACACAATTTCTGAATCAATGTAAGTGAATGTGAATCACCATGTTCACTTAGCTGATGCTCCTTTATTAACGGGGATAGAAGGGACGTGATTCAAAGAGATGGCGGCACAGGACCCATGACCTAAGGAAGCTGCAGTGGGTGAAGGGGAGAAACAGAGGAGCAGGGGCTGGAGAAAGAGTGGGGAGTCATCAACTACCCTCCTTGCTCCCGGCATCTGGTGTTTGGAGCCCAGAGGTCTTCTCTAAGGCCTCGGAGAAGCTTCCAAGTCTGTTCATTTCTCTTTCCCCACCCCTGCTTGTATCACAAATAAAGAAATTATTGACAACTGAGTTCCTGACTAGGTGGCAGGATTTTAGGGATCCTTCACCTCGTCCAAACCTCATGAAGGTAGTGGGAGTCCCATGGGTTAGTTAGCAATAGTCCTTGAGATTATTTGTTCATATAAATAATCACAATACTCATAGTCATCTTGCTTTTCTCATAATGCCCAGCTGGGGGACGGTGGGGGCAGAGAGGACTGGAGTGAGAAGAGATAGAACAAGAGCTGGCTTTCATGTATGGGGCTCTCCAGAGCAATCAGGCCTAAGGACAATCAAGAGGGATCTTGAAGCAGCTCTGGCAAGGGCAGCCTGGACTCAGGCCCCAGCTTGCACCAAGCACGTCACCTGTCCAACTGGGAAGCCTAAGCAATGTGTTTCTGTTTTTGTTTTGTTTTCTGGTAAAGAATTCAATGTCGTTAGCTACATTCACAATGCTGTGCAATCATCACCACTATCCATTTCCAGAACATTCTATCATCCCAGACAGGAACTCTGTGCCCATTAGACACTAACCTCCTGCCAGCCCTGAAAACCTCTATTCTACTTTCTGTCTCTGTTAATTTGCCTGTTCCAGGTTCTTCATATAGATGGAATCACGTAGTCTGTGTCTGATGTCTCACTTAGCATAATGTTTTTAAGTTTTATCTATGTGGTAGCAAGTATCAGAATTTCCTCCCTTTTCAAAGATCACTAATATTCCATTTTATGTCTATACCACATTTTGTTTATCCATCTATCCCTCAATAGACTTTTTAGGTTGTTTCCACCTTGTGGTTGCTGTAAATAAGGCTGCTGTGATGCTGCAATGAACACAGGTGTAGCAGCCAGGTGTGGTGGCATGCGCCTGTAGTTCCTGCTACTCAGGCTTCTGAGGCAGGAAGATCCCTTGAGCCCAGGAGTTCTGGGCTGCAGTGTGCTGTGTTGATCAGATGTCTGCATGAAATTAGACATTAGTACAGTGACCTCCCGGGATAGGGGACTACCAGGTTGCCTAAGGAGTGGCGAACCGGCCAACAGGGGGGTCGCGCCCGTGGACAGCCCTGCAGAGGGGGTGGGGGGGAGGCGGGGTTGTCGCACCCGTGGACAGCCCCGCAGCAGGGGGCTCGTGCCCGTGGACAGGCCTGCAGCGCGGGGCGGGGGGGCGGGGCTCGCGCCCGTGGACAGCCCCGCAGCAGGGGATCATGCCTATAAACAGCCCCTGCACTCCGGCCTAGGAAACATAGTGAGACCCCATCTATTAAAAAAAAAAAGGGTACGGAGAGAACACAGGTGTACAAGTATCTATTTGAGTAACTGCTTTCCATTCTTTTGAAGATAGGTATAGGTAGATATAGATACAGATATAGAGATTTACAGATATGAGTGGGATTACTGAATCATATGGTAATTCTATGTCTAAATTTTTGAGGAACCATATGTTTTCCACAGCTGATGTACTATTTTTCATACCCACCCTCAATGCACAAGAGTTACAATTTTTCCACATCCTTGTCAGCACTTGTTATTTTCTGGGTGTTTTTGCTTTGTTTTGAGGCCAAATCTCCTTCTGTCTGCAGGCTGGAGTGCAGTGGCGTGATCTCGGCTCACTGCAACCTGTGCCTCCCAGGTTCAAGCGATTCTCGTGCCTCAGCCTCTCAATTAGCTGGGATTACACATGTGTGCCACCATGCCCGACTAATTGTGTGTGTGTGTGTTTTGTTTTGTTTTGTTTTTTGGTACAGATGAGGTTTCACCATGTTGGCCAGGTTGCTGTCAAACTCCCGACCTCAGGTGATCCACCTGCCTAGGCCTCCCAAAGGGCTGGGATTACAGGTGTGAACCAGCATGCCCAGCCCCTGATTTTTTTGTTTTTTCTTTTTTGATAGCAGCCATCTTAATGGGTGTGCAGGTGTGTGTGTGTGTGTGTGTGTGTGTGTGTGTGTGTGTTTTAATGTCACATTGGTGATTCTAATGTGTAACCAGCAAAGAAAAGCATGGATTCTGGGTCTCAATTTTTCATCTAGGTAAACCAGAGCAAATAAAACCTATCGAAGAGTCCTCCTGATGATTGAATGAGTTCCCCCATAGAAGGCAAAATTTACAAATGTTGGTTCCTCTCTTATTCCCTTGGAATTCTACTAAACTTCCTGCCTCAACATACAGAGAAACTCCCTGAAGCCTAAAACTATGCAGATTTGACATAGGGCTGATTTTAACTTCTGTTTTGCTTTTACCATATAGCTAGCTGCAGAGGTCACATGTGTCCTCCATGACATCTAAATAGCACTACACCTGCACCAGCTTTCCTCTCAAATTAACTACTCATCAGTTCTATTATTAAATAAACAGGGAGCAGCTGTAATACTCAAGGAGTGTGTGGGATTGTGCTTTAAAATTACATCTCTGCCAACACTTTGTTTGCTTGTTGAATAACTACAAGTTTTCCAGTTAAATTAATAGAATACATTATACCCATAAAATCCTGACATATTTGGCAATACACACAACAAAATATTTACAAGTAGAGAATATAATAAATGTATGACACTTTAGAAATGCATTGAGATAAGTTTAAACAGTGTTTACTTTTAATTGGTGTGCTTTCTTTCATCTCACAGTAATAAGCTATGGTTTAGTTTATCGGCTGAATACTCACTATGCAGTCCTTTGTAAAATTTTGGAGGTCCGCAGTAATGTGATTATTGAGCTTCAACAGAATACACAGAAGATCCCAGGAACCACAGACTAATCCATCCACTATGCAGTATCTAAAGTATTTGCAAAAATAAAAACAAACAACAACAAAAAAACACCTGAACAATTGACTCGTAGCAAAACTATCAGGTTAGTGCAAAAGTAATTGTGGTTTTGCCATTGAAAGTAATGAAAGTAATTGAAAGAATAGGTGTTCTAGCTGGACATTCTACAATGCATGCCACAACCATGGATCAATTGTGTATTGAAAACCCAAACCAACTGAGGATCACTGCTGTGCATTATTCCCATCGTGTCATAATGTGGCAAACTAAAACTAAGGACCCATAACAAGGGATTTTCAGAGGGAAAGCAAACATATTGGTTAAAGCAAACAAAACTGGCAATTTTCAATTTGCTCAAACTATTCACATAGTTTGTATGCTTCTCTACAAAATACAGAATTTTGATATAATTACCCTTAGGTAAAACTCTAAAGTGAGCAGCTTCTGATCAATAGGCCTCAACTCCTTTTCCCTTCTGTATCACAGACTGTGTGGGTGAATCCAACACATGACCTAATACGATTTGGCCAGTTGGGAAAGGTCTCTTTAAAGAACTAACCCTCAGGCTGGGATCTAGAGCAAAGCACCGTAAACTTGAATGTGCATAGGAACCACCTGGGGACCTTGTCAACATGCAGATTCTGATTCATTGGATCTAGGGTGGTGCCTGAGCTCTAGCAAGCTCCCAGGGATGCCTATGTGACTGCCTTGGACATCAGTTACAGTAGCAAGAATATAAGCAGATACCAGCCAACAAAGCAGGAGTGAACGCATCACGGCCCAGGCAGCCCTGGACCAGGCCAGCTCAGGGATCTGAGAAAAGAGTAACTGGACTGAGGTCTATGAGTGCTGCCATGAGAGGTGAGGCTGAGAAGGTGGACAAGATCTAGGTCAATGTGTTAAGTTCCTACTAAATGCAAGGCTAGGCTCTGCATAAACAGAAACAAATAAGGCAAACCTACTCCTTGCATCTTTAGAGCTTGTGGTCTAGCAGAATTACTTCATGGGTAGAAAATCATTAAAGATTTTTAAATGAAGGAGAGACATGATCTAATTGAAATTTTTGATGAACCTCTCTGGGTGTGCCATAGAGAAGGTATTGGAGAGGCAAAAAGTTGGAAAGAGGAGTATATGTTTGCAGACCAGGTGAAACATGCGGATGACAGAAGTGGATAATTTTAGCACATATTTTGAAGGTGAAATAACAGGACTTGGTTGCAAGTTGTGATGGTAGGGGGGTGGCAGGAAGAAGAAAGCATCAAGGATGATGATGCTTTCTGGAAGAAGCAAATGGGTAAATGGAGATAATTTTTACGAAGAATGGTAAGGCTGAAGAAGAAATAAACTAACAAAAGGGAAATGATTGAGGAAGTGGCATAGATTTGGGGGCAGAACTCAAGAGTTTTGAATTCTGATTTTAGGAATGCCTATGAAAATCCCAGTGGAGATTTCAAGATGGCAGGTGCACATAATGTTTTGGAGCTTGGGAGGAGAGCTCTGTAGGAGCCATATGCATATAAACAGTATCTAAAGCCATAGGAATTAATAAAACCTTGTCTAGAGTCTGTGTAGGCACGGGCGTCCAATCTTTTGGCTTCCCTGGGCTGCACTGGAAGAAGAATTGTCTTGGGCCACACATAAAATATACTAACATTAACAATAGCTGATGAGCTAAAAAAAAAAACATAAAAAAATCTATAATGCTTGACGAATGTTTACAAATTTGTGTTGGGCTGCATTCAAAGCTGTCCTGGGCCACACGTGGCCCACAGGCCACAGGTTGGACAAGCTTAGTATGGAATAAGAACAGAAGAGGACCCAGGATTTAGGAACTTCAACATTTAAAGTTTGGGCAAAGAGGCAGGAGCTGATAAGAAAATAGTTCAAGCTAGAGGAAGAGATCAGGGGTCTACTCTACTGAATGTTTCTGAGACGCCATTGGACTTATATATTACATAATATGTACAATATATGTTACTTGGGTGATGGATACCCTAATAGCTTTGAACTGACCACTATGCACGGAACAAAACTGCACCTGTATCCCGTAAATTTTATATAAACAAAAGTAAATAAATAGAAGGCAGGAAGGGAGAAGGAGAAGGAAGGAAGGAAGGATGGAAGGAAGGAAAGAAGGAAGGAAGAAAGGAAGGAAGGAAAGAAAGAAGGAAGGGAGAGCGAGGAAAGGAAAGGAAAGGGAAGGGAAGGAAAGAAGGAAGGGAGAGTGAGGAAAGGGAAGGAAAGAAGGAAGGGAGAGCGAGGAAAGGAAAGGAAAGAAAGGAAAGGAAAGGAAAATAAATGAAAGGGAGGGAAGGAAGGAAGGAAGAAAGGAAGGAAGGAAGGGGGAAGAGAGAGAAAGAAAGAGAGAGAAAGAAAGAAAGAAAGAGAAAGGAAAGAAGGAAGGAAGGAAAGAAAGAGAAAGAAAGAAAAGAAAGAAAGGAAAGAAAGAAAGAAAAGAAAAGAAAGAAAGAAAGAAAGAAAGAAAGAGAAAGAAAAAGAAAGAAAGAAAGAAAGAAAGAGAAAGAAAGGGAGAAAGAGGAATAGTGTTCATGATGTTTATGAATCACCAATTCTGGGGGCACTGAATTGTGTCCCCCAAGATTCCTATGTTGAAGAGCTGATCCCCACTGCCTCAGAGGGGACTGATTTAGAGAAGGCCTTCAAAGAGGTAAGTGAGGTCAAATGAAGCCGTATGGGTGGACCCTAAACCAATATGGCAGGTGTCCATCTAAAAAGAGATTGAGACACAGGCAACACAGCCTGAGGACACAGCAGGAAGGGAGCCGTCTGCAAGGCAGCAGTTCTCAGAAGAAGGCAAACCTGCTGACATTCCATCCTGGATTTCCAGTCTTCAGAGCTGTGAGAAGATAAACCACTCAATCTGTGGCAGCTTGTGATGGAAGCCCCTAGCACTCTTATATGGTGACCTTAGCACAAGCAGTTTAACAGGCTTGGTGAAAGTGAAAGCCAAACTGACCTGAATAAAGAGTGAAAGGAAAAGGAGCAAAAGGAGACAGTAAGTGTGGAAAATCCTTGAGGAAAATTTGCCAAGAAAGGAGGAGATGGCTTGATAGCTAGAAAGACATAGAGAGTCAAAGGTAAGGTTTCTCCAAGATAGAAGATTTTTTTAAATGAAAAATTTATATTTAAATGCTGACAGAAGGCATCAAGGAGGAGAGAGATTGAAGATGCAGTTGACAAATGGAAAAGCAATGAACAGAATCCCTGAAAAGTCAGGAAAAGAAGGGAGATTATTAGAGGGATGTCCTTTTACAGTAAGAAGAATACTTCCTCCACCGCCCCAGGATTTAAAAAGCTTATAAATGACAGGTAACATTCTACCTAATTATAGAGCTTTACACTTTTCAATAAATTTTGTTGTACATGATACAGTCACTCTGTGAATTCAGTGAGACAGACAGTTATCCACATTTTACATAAAAAGAAAGAAAAGGCAGAAAAGAAGTGATTTGCTTGAAGTGACACAGAAACGGCTGGTAGAACCATGCACTGTGTAGATGGCAGGGCTCCTGACTTCTCATTTCACACCACAAATGTAGACAGAATTAGATATAATGACAGTTATTATATTTTTAAACCTTTCAAATAAGAATATCCTTAGATTTTCATTCATTAACAAAGCACGTGATTAGCATCTGAAAATGTTTTATTATACGATCACTAGACACCAAAAGAGGTTTCCATTTTCCTGTGTATTTGAAAGAGTTCAACAGCCCTAAGTCACACAGTTGGAGGAAACTCAAACAAGAGAAGGTTCGTTTGAAGTGATGAAATTAGCATGATGAAGTTTACAATACAAAGATTTTTGTTTCAAGACTCTGAGGTTTGGTAGGGAGGAAGGGGAAAGGCAGATGACACCAAATAGGACTGGTTGGAGAGGGGATGAGAAGCATCAATTAGAAAGCTCTTCAAATTCAAATGGACTGTTCAAACCATCCTAGGACTAGACTCCAATTGGGAAAGACTCTGAAGAAAATGATCTCCTACTCCCACGAGATGGCTAACGTGATTTAGGTAAAAAGCTTTTAGTTTTATGGCTGGGGAGGTAGCAATAAAGAAAATGAACTTCCTGCCAGTGATTCTTTGTCAAGCCCTGCCAATTTCTGTGTCTGGGGAAGCTATAAAGAATGTCCAGCCTCATGTCAAAAGAATTGCCACAGATCTCCAGCCTGCCTGCATTCAAGCATCGAAACATCCCTAAGCCTGTTCCCAGGCCAGCCTGGAATTGAGAATCCAGGAGAGTCTTTTCTGTTCTGCTGCTGCAGCTACACTATCTGCTTGTTAGCATAACCAGGGCCACCAGCAATAGATGCTAGAGAAATACACAGAGAAAAAATCAACAGCTGATGAAAAGCAGAATCTTTTCTTTTTGGCAGCAATACCAATAGCATGAAGCACATCCCTTTTGGAGCTTTCCAAACCACTTCAAAAGCGAGTTTTCTGGTGTGGATCAAGAAAGCTAGGCAAATTGCCCCTGAGGGCATAGCCACTGGCCAAGATATTGATGAGTGTAGGCAGCTCAGGACCCATCCTCGGCCCCGGTGCTGTCTTTCTCAGAGCTCTGTTTAATTCCATCAGGCATGGGCAGCGTTTGGAGAAAGCTGTGTTCATTTTTGTGATCTTCAGCCAGCACGGAGGTGGCCAGTTCCCTAGCCTCCCAGCACCGTCCTCCTCCTGCCCTGCCCCTTCATGGCCTGCCTGGGCTCACTGGACCCACACTTGCCTTTCACCCCTGTCAAAGCCTCACAGTCCTGTGTGTCTGTTTCCCTTTGAACTACACAAACTAACTAATTTGGTGAACCCATTAAGTGAACTTCTTTATACTCATGGTCTAGAGTGCATTGAACGCTAAAGGGTTTGCTAGAGATTGTCAAAATCAATTCTGTCTTCTTCCAACTGGACCAAGGCTTCTTTGAGTTAACAAAACTGAGAAATCTGAGTTGATTTTTCGTAGTACCTCTTTCTATTCTTTTGGGGTTTTTTTGTTTGTTTTTTACTTATCATGGAGATTTTCCTTAATTTAACCCAAAAGATATACCCATATGACATTTGAACTAATATGAAAGAGGTAGTAGGACAAAGAATTTGAAGACAGCCTTTCAGAGCCCCACAAAGTACTTGAAGTTTATCAATAAACCCCTCCCAGTGTTTCCCACCATGTTCCACATTCCATCTCCATTTTTAGCCATGCAGCTTCAAGTGGCATCTCCTCCTGTGAAACCTACAGTTTGGAGATAAATTATTGATGACTAATGACTTAGAAGAACCAAAGAAAGGATCCTCTAGTGGAGACACAGCATAGAAATGGTGGTCCAGGGTGAGACAGAACTGCTTCCAATCCCAGTGCCACCTGTGTGGTTCCAGCTGTGTGCTGCTCTTCCTCTAATCTTGTTTACTCGTCTCCAATACGGGACTAATAACATATACATCAGACTATTGTGAGGGTTGAATGTAACAATATTCCAAATTGTTGCATGTGTCCAGTACTTAACACAGTGCCAAGAACAAAGCATGTATCAGTAAGTATGAATGGCCTTCCCAGCGCACACCTCCAAACAGTGGATTCTGGCCGATGACAGGCAATGGTTCCCCGCGGTCCTACAGGCCACGGTTTAACTTACCACTAGCCAATCAGTAAGTTTGCCTCAGACCACATCACGATTCTTTTGCAAGCCTGGAGCTTGGTGAAAAACAAGGGGGAAAATAATCCATGTCCCTAAGGCAGATGCTGAAAGATTTACCTCATAACATAATTCTCTCACCAGACTTGTTTCCTGAATGTCCATTTAAATTTTAATTCTGCAAATAAAATAAAATTGGTAATAATGAAAGTGATTAAGATGGTATTTGTCCAGGGAACCAATCTCCCCACAAGATACCTAAGAAAGAGATATATGTACAGAAAATGAAGCACAGTAAAATACCACTTCATTACTATCTGGAGATTTTCCCCAAACACAGAGAAAGCTCTACAGAGCTGAGCTTAAGGCAGAAGAACTCTGTTATTTACTTGGTCTAATGCCAAAACAGGCCAGAGACCCCTCTCACTTACTTCTCTTTAATCCCAAACCCATGTCTCAATTTGGTCTAAGAAAGAGCCGAACACCCAGGAGGCACCAGGGTAGAGAAAAGCAGCCAGCCAGAGAGTGACCTCCATGCCAGGGGAGTGTGTCTGAGCTTTGTTTTATTTTTCTTATTTGTCTGTAGTTGTGTGATTGGTAGAAGAGAGTAGATATGAAGTCTACTGACACAGGATTGGTCTTCAGGCATGTCTTACCAAGCATAGGGGTTCCACAAATAAGAGAGCAATGATCAGACTTTCTTCTAAAAGGAGCAGCCACAAGCTACCTTAACTCTCCAACTTGCCCATAAATCTTCACCTACAGTTAGGAAGATTTCACCATTAGCTGTGGCCCATAAAAGATCCTTAAGCTTGACCAACCACAGAGGTCCATCTCCTTGAGGAGGAAGTGAAAGGGGTATGGACAGAAGCTGTGAGCTTTCTGTCCTCCACAGGCCCCCAGCTGTGTCTTCTACTTCTTGTACAAGATAGTCTCCAAATGATGTTTTCTGGCAGACAATGCCACAGAACTGATCCTTATCTCACTATGGAAATGAAAGATTTCAAAGAATTTGTTGCCTGAAATATGGTGCCCTAATCACATATTAATAAAGCTGCTATCCAGGAAGAAGGCAGATTTCAAAAGAAAGGCTGTTAGCCTTCTCAGGGACCTAAAAAGTACATATTGTAGAACAATGGTAAATAGATCTTGGAATCAGGTAGACTTTAATTCAAGCCCCAGCTATGCCAGTTATTAACTTATGTGACATTGGGAAAGGCTCTCAAATTTAGTTTTGCAAAATCAGAATAATATAGGTAGCCAACAAATAGGGTTTAATGGAGGTAATAATGAAGGTGATTAAGATGATAAAATTAAATAATGAATATAAAGTGCTTAGCATGTAATAAATTTTATTGTATGATTTCAAAGCACATGCTTTACCTACAGTGCTATAAAGCTGCTTGCAATAGTCAAAGCTAATAGAAGCTCTAGTCAGAGCTAATAGAAGCCTTGTGTATATAATTATTTAAGAATTCTGTAAATATACATAATAGGGTAGGAATGAGAAAATCTTTAGAGGAAATATTCAAATATGCTTGGTTTCTAGCAAATCCAGATAGACCGTTTTGGCAACAACCAAGTCATAATTTTAAGTCTTGTTATAGGAGCTAGAATTTTATTCAAGGGGCAACTGATTTGATTAGATAAGATGCTGTGGACTGCATGTTTGCATCAACAAATGCACATGTTGAAACTCTAACAATAGAATGGCATTAGAAGGAGGACCTTTGGGAAGTAATTTGGTTTTGATGAGGATGGAGTTCCCACGATGGGGTTAGCATCCTAATAAGAAGAGAAGGAGACTAGAGCCCTCTTCTCTCAGCCATGTGAAGATACAACAAGAACACCTGCAAACCAGTAAGAAGGCCTTCACCAGACACTGGCTCTGCTGGCCCAGATTTTAATCTTTGATTTCTCAGAACTGTGAGAAACAAGTATGTGCTGTTTAAGCCACTCAGTCTACAGTTGTTTGTAACAGCAGCCTGAGCAGACAAAGACATAGGGTTCCTTTTATTTTCAGAATTCGGTTTAGCTGTAATCACCTACCATCCTGAAATGCTGTTTCCTCCTTCTGCCCTTGAAATATAAGCTCTGGGACTACAGCTTCATGGACAAATTCTGAAGAATTTGTCTCTGCTCCTGTGGGATGCTAACCTAATCAATCAAGGAATGTTTGCTCAATGGAATGAAACATCTTAATGCAGCTTGCCAGCCAATATCTGCAGAGCACACCTCATGGGTTCTGGCTGGCTTGGATTTCTGAGACTACTTCATCCTACCCATCAGACTGTGGACTCAGATTCAGCCAGAAGGCCTGATTCTAGCGTCAGTTTTGCCTTTGGGATATAAATGCATGCCCTACTTCACTGAACATGAAACCCTGAATATTTGGCCATTACTCTGGCAATTGCCCTCCCTCCCTGTGCCAATTGCCAGTCAACCCAACTCCCAGGCAGCCTTGGCAGTTATGTCTGCTCGGCCTGCTGTAGCAGCCAATGACTTAGTAAAAGTCAGAACATAGATCTGCTAGCTCCCAGTCCAGGATTTCCCCTTAACTCATCCATGTATATATTAAACAACTAGGCTTGCTTTTAAATTCTTTTTCATTTAGCCTCTTCTTAGAACTGATCATTTTGAGAATCCTGACCTGCCAATATTCCATAATCTTTCTAAAAGTGACACAGCAAATACGACGCATGCACAGTGCTAACTGCAGCTGATTTCATTTTTCCATCATCTATAAAGCACATAAGGTAATTTCTAAACCAGCAGTAAAATCTATTTATAAAGAATGCTGATTTGTTTTCTGCACTTTCCAACACAGAGCTTCAATTTATTTCCTTACCATAAAAAAACCATTACTTTTTAAAACAATCATAGTTAGTATATTTTATAAATGTTTTAATTTTTGTAAAGTCCAACTTGCAAATTGGAGTGTAAATAGCTTTCTTAAAATGGAAGGAACCGTGTTAGACCCAGTATGCTGACTGATTTCACTGTGCTTCAAAGCAGACGATTTCACAGTCATTCGGTAATGAGTTTTTATAAAGCAATTGATATCACTAAAAATATAATTATAATAAATAAAATTATAGGAAAAAGGAAATCTTCATTCAGACAATGCCAAATTTTTTAACTCATTGCTAAAAGATTATGTTTGTACATGAAAAATTTTACACATTCTTTCTATGAGATAAACCTGATAACACCTTGAAAACTTAATAGTTATGGAAAAGGAACTACTGTGATATTTTTTAGAGAATGTCGTGTTCTTGATGTTCTTGAGTGAGCTGTCTCATGTTATTAGAAGGGAAACAGCACCACCTTGTGGGGAAACAACACCACCTTGTGGACAAACAAAGAAAGTGAATGAAATTTTAGGGCCGGGTGCTTAATCCCAGCACTTTTGGGAGACCTGGGAGGAGGGTAACTTGAGCCCAAGAGTTCAAGACCAGCCTGGGCAACACAATGACACACCCATCTTTACCAAAAATTTGAAAAATTCGCTGGGCTTGGTGGCTCACACCTCAGGTCCCAGCTACTTGGAAGGCTGAGGTGGGAGGATCGCTTAAGCCCTGGAGGTCAAGGCTGCAGTGAGTGTGATCATACCACTGCATTCCAGCCTGGGTGACACGGCAAGACCCTAGCTCAAAAAAATTATGTTTATGTAGCACTTCCTACAAGGAATATAGTATCTTGTTTGTATTTAAATGACATCGGGACCAGCATGGTGGCTTACAGCTGTAATCTCAGCTCTTCAGAAGGCAGAAGGCAGGAGGATCACTTGAGGCCAGGAGTTGGAAGACCAGCCTGGGCAGCATAATGAAATAATAATAATAGTAATAAAAAGCTAGGCGTGCTGGCACACACCTGCAGACCTAGCTACTGTGGAGGCTGAGTGGCAGGATCGCTTTGAGACCAGGAGTTTGATTGTACTGCGTATTGTGAGCTACGATCGAGCCACTCCAGTCCAGACAACACGGCAAGACCCAGTCTCTAAGCAAAATAAAGGGACATCAGAGCATTGCTTACAGAGATTTATAAATGATCCCAAAATGTCTTCAGGGAGATAAATTATCTAAATATAGCTATATGGACTCTTCCTAAATTCCAAATTTGGGTGGAAAAATAAATGAGATAGAAGACTTCTTGAAATGTATCAAGACTCAGAAAGACAAAACAAAAACTTTCATTAGGCAGCTAAAGAGGAAATCCCAGCGACAAGAAGCCAAAGGAAAGGGAAAAGAAATGACAACAATGACCATACTTTCTACACATCCAACCTCTTCTCTACCACCACTCAGCAAGACCTCCCACAGCCAATCACTGCCTTCTCTTGTGGACTTACCCTCTACTCTGTGAACACATGAGCCAGAGAACCCTGAGAAGTCCCTGGGTCCCTTCCAGGGGCTCTGCAAGGTCAAAACTCTTTTCATAAAAATACACAGGTTTTGTTGACCTTTTCCAATTTCATTCTCTCACAAGTATAATTGGAGTTTCCCAGAGGCTACCTGACGTGGGATGTCACAAGAAATTAAATGTAGAAGCAGAAAGGAGAACGAAGTTTTCTTCTATTAAACCAGACATTAAAGACATACTTAAAAATATAAAACAATGTCAATGTTCTCACCAACTTTACTGTTTAAAAATGATAACTTTAAATAAAAATGTGATTTATGTAAACATATAAGTATATTTTTTTAATTTCTCAGCTTTAATGTTTAATATGATAAATATAGATAGATATAATCCAAGTAAATAAAAGCTCTTTGGGGTCCTCAATAACTTTTAAATGTAAAGTGGTCCTGAAACCAAAAATTTGAGGACAGATGCTCTAAAGCTCATACTCTCTGATGTAGCTTCCACCCAGGTCATTTCTTAAATACTTGATCAATCATTTCCCATGTCCCTCACCCTATCCTTGTTGCAAAATTCCATTTTCCTACTCTAGCCCTCCCTGTCATGAGAAAGTTCCCAGGTTGTAGACATTATTTACTAAATATTTCTTAACAGCTTTATGATGATAACATGACATATAAAAATTGTGTAAATTTAAGGTAACTTAATGTTTTGATATTTTATACTTTTTGAAATGATCACCACAATCAAGCAAATTAGCATATTTATTATCTCTACATATTTACCATTGTGTGTGTTGACAGTAATTAATTTATGATCTAGTCCTTTAGCAGAACACAAGAATATGACACAGTGTTGTTCCATGTTGTACATTATATCTCCAGAAATTATTATAACTTGAACTTTGTACAATTTAACCAACATCACCCCGTTTCCCCTCCCTGAGCCCCTGGCAACCACTGTCCTATTCTCTGTTTTTATGAATTTGACTGTTGTAGATTCCTCATGTAAGTGAGATCATGAAGTATTTTTCTCTGTGTCTTGCATTTTTGCTTGGTGCAATATCTTCCAGCTCCATCCATGTTTTCACAAATAGAAGGATTTCCTTCTTTTTTAAGGTCGGATAATATTTCATTTTATATATACATGCCACATTTTCTTTACCCATTCATCTGTTCCTCTGCCAAAGGACATTTAGGTTATTTTCATATTTTGGTCATTGTGTGTCATGCTGCAATGAACAGGGGATGACAGACACCTCTCTAAGACTCTTATGTCAATTTCATTGGACATATATCCAGAAGTGAAATTATTGGATTGTGGCAGTTCTTTTTTTTATTTTTGAAATGGGGTCTCACTCTGTCATCCAGGGTAAAGTCCAGTGGCAAGATCATAGCTCACTGCAGCCTTGAACTCCTGGGCTCAAGGGATC